>NC_000010.11:55749155-55900671 GCF_000001405.40 Homo sapiens | reverse complement strand
AGCTCGTCAAAGTCATTCTCCATCCAGCTTTGTTCCGTTGCTGGTGAGGAACTGCGTTACTTTGGAGGAGGAGAGGCGCTCTGCTTTTTAGAGTTTCCAGTTTTTCTGCTCTGTTTTTTCCCCATCTTTGTGGTTTTATCTACTTTTGGTCTTTGATGATGGTGATGTACAGATGGGTTTTTGGTGTGGATGTTCTTTCTGTTTGTTAGTTTTCCTTCTAACAGACAGGACCCTCAGCTGCAGGTCTGTTGGAGTACCCTGCTGTGTGAGGTGTCAGTGTGCCCCTGCTGGGGGGTGCCTCCCAGTTAGGCTGCTCGGGGGTCAGGGGTCAGGGACCCACTTGAGGAGGCAGTCTGCCTGTTCTCAGATCTCCAGCTGCGTGCTGGGAGAACCACTGCTCTCTTCAAAGCTGTCAGACAGGGACATTTAAGTCTGCAGAGGTTACTGCTGTGTTTTTGTTTGTCTGTGCCCTGCCCCCAGAGGTGGAGCCTACAGAGGCAGGCAGGCCTCCTTGAGCTGTGGTGGGCTCCACCCAGTTGGAGCTTCCTGGCTGCTTTGTTTACCTAAGCAAGCCTGGGCAATGACAGGCGCCCCTCCCCCAGCCTCGCTGCCGCCTTGCAGTTTGATCTCAGACTGCTGAGCTAGCAATCAGCGAGACTCCGTGGGCGTAGGACCCTCCGAGCCAGGTGCGGGATATATTCTCCTGGTGCGCCATTTTTTAAGCCCGTCGGAAAAGCGCAGTATTCGGGTGGGAGTGACCCGATTTTCCAGGTGCTGTCTGTCACCACTTTCTTTGACTAGGAAAGGGAGCTCCCTGACCCCTTGTGCTTCCCAAGTGAGGCAATGCCTCGCCCTGCTTCAGCTCGCACATGGTGCGCGCACCCACTGACCTGCGCCCAGTGTCTGGCACTCCCTAGTGAGATGAACCCGGTACCTCAGATGGAAATGCAGAAATCACCCGTCTTCTGCATCGCTCACGCTGGGAGCTGTAGACCGGAGTTGTTCCTATTCAGCCATCTTGGCTCCTCCCGAAAGAAGGTATTTCTAAGACAGAAATATTTATCACATATGGCTTTTTTTTCTTGCTATTTCATTTTTACTATTTCCTTGCTGCAGTGTAGACATAATGCCAGAAGTTTTATCAAATATCTAGAACCAGCTACAAAATTTGCATTACCCAGTACAAATAAAAATGTGGGACTCTTGTTTAAAAATCAGGGGAAAATGTTTAGATAAATATAAAATATTTCGTGAAAATACTTTGTTACTTTAAAATTTGATATGGGGGTAAAGTAATATATAAGTAACAATATAATGACAGAAAATCATATTACAAAGGACAAAAAAATTATGTCATTCATAACTTTTATAACAATAAATAATAATGGTCTGTTAATGTGACATTTGATTGATTATATGATTCTTTGGACTAAATTTTCTGCAAATCAATTTACTTTGTCTTCTAAATATATACTTTAGCAATTTCATTTTTAAGCAGTATAGTTGAAAGTGATGCCAGTTTCTTTGGACAAATGCAAGATCCAGATAATATTTATAATTTCTAATTTTGGAAAGGATTTTTATGCTAATGCAATTGGTACTGTAACTCTTAAGTGTATTTTATAGAATGTAAAAATTTGTGGATAAGGTTCTGGTAAATTAGCTTAAAATATATATTTTAGCATATCTGGAGATGATGACACTAATAGAACTTTTTTTTTCTAAAAATATTTAAGTCTTCAAATAAATTATTTTGGGGTAATTGTAAATTTAATTTTAAATATTAGTTTATAAAATGGCATTTTATTGTTTTCTTTGCTATTTTCTGTAACTTTCTAGCTAGTGTAACTGTTTTGTTTACAAGTTGCTCATTGCCCTCTGTGCCTAGGGTCTGAGCCTCTGTGTACACAGCCACACATCAAATCCCCTCTACTCATGCACGTGCTTTATTTTCTCATGGAATTCACTTACAAAGTGCAGGTTCAAAGAAAAAATTGTTAAAAATTTCAAAAGGGGGTTGATATGGTTTGGCTGTGCCCCTGCACAAATCTCGACTTGAATTATATCTTCCAGAATTCCCACGTGTTGTGGGAGGGATCTGGCAGTAGGTAATTGAATCATAGGGGCAGCTCTTTCCTGTGCTCTTCTCATGATAGTGAATAAGTCTCACGAGATCTGATGAGTTTATCAGGGGTTTCCTCTTTTGCTTCTCCTCATTCTCTCTTGCTACCTCCATGTAAGAAGGGTCTTTCACCTCCTACCATGATTCTAAGGCCTCCACAGCTGTGTGGAACAGTAAGTCCAATTAAACCTCTTTTTTCTTCCCAGACTCAGGTATGTCTTTCTCATCAGTGTGAAAATGGAATAATACAGTAAATTGGTACCGGGAGTGGGTCACTGCTAAAAAGATACCTGAAAAATGTGAAAGCAACTTTGGTACTGGGTAGCAGGCAGAGATTGGAACAGTTTGGCAGGCTCAGAAGAAAACAGGAAAATATAAGAAAGTTTGGAACTTCATAGAGACTTGTTGAATGACTTTGACAAAAATGCTCATGGTGATATGAACAATAAGGTCCATGCTCAGGTGGTCTCAAAGGGAGATGAGAAACTTGTTGGGAACTTGAGCAGAGGTGACTCTTGTTATGTTTTAGAAAAGAGTCTGGCGGCATCTTGCTCCTGCCCTAAAGATTTGTGGAACTGTAAACTTCAGAGAGATGATTTAGGGTATCTGGCAGAAAAAAAATTCTAAGCAGCAAAGCATTCAAGAGGTGACTTGGGTGTTGCTAAAACCATTCAGTTTTAAAAGGGAAACAGAGCATAAAAGTTTGGAAAATTTACAGCCTGACACTGTGAGAGAAAAGAAAAACCCATTTGCAGTGGAGAAATTCAAACTGGCTGCAAAAATTTGCATAAGCAGCAAGGAATGTAATGTTAATCTCCAAGAGCATGTGGAAAATGTCTCCAGGCCATGCCAGAGGCCTTCACAGCAGCCCCTCCCATCACAGGCCCCGAGGTCCAGGGGGAAAATGTCATTTCATGGGCCAGGTCCGGGGTCCCCATGCTGTGTGCAGCCTAGGGACTTGGTGCCCTGTGTCCCAGCTGCTCCAGCCATGGCTGAGAGGGGTCAACATACAGCTCAGGCTGTGGCTTCAGGGTGGAAGCCCCATGCCTTGGCAGCGTCCATGTGCTGTTGAGCCTGCAAGTGCACAGAAGTCAAGAATTGAGTCTTGGAACCTCCACCTAGATTTTAGAAGATGTATGGAAATGCCTGGATGCAAAAGTTTGCTGCAGGGGCAGGGGCCTCAGGGAGAACCTCTGCTAGGGCAATGCAGAAGGGAAATGTGGGGTGGGAGACCCCACACAGAGTCCTTACTAGGGCACTGCCTAATGGAGCTGTGAGAAGAGGGTCACCATTCTCTGCACCCCATAATGGTAGATACACTGACAGCTTACACTGTGGACCTGGAAAAGCCACAGACACTAAATGCCAGCCCCGTGAATTTAGCCATGAGGAAGACTGTACCCTGCAAAGTCACAGGGGCGGAGCTGCCTAAGACCATGGAAACCTACCTCTTGCATTAGTGTGACCTGAGTGTGAGACCTGAGGTCAAAGGAGATCATTTAGGAACTAGGAGATCATTTTGGAGCTTTAAAATTTGACTGCCGTGCTGGATTTCAGACTTGCATGGGCCCTGTAATCCCTTTGTTTTGGCCAATTTCTCCCATTTGGAGTGGTTATATTTACCCAATACCTGTACCCCCATTTTATGTAGGAAGTAACTAGCTTGCTTTTGATTTTACAGGCTCATAAGCAGAAGAGATTTGCCTTGTCTCAGATGAGACTTTCGACTATGGAATTTTGGGTTAATGTGGAAATGAGTTAACACTTGGGGGGAGTGTTGGGAAGGCATGATTGGTTTTGAAATGTGAGGACATGAGATTTGGAGGGCCCAGGGATGGAATGATATGGTTTGGCTGTGCCCCCAACCAAATCTCAATTTGAATTGTATCTCCCAGAATTCCAACATGTTATGGGAAGTACCGGGGGGGAGGTTATTGAAACATGGGGCCTAGTCTTTCCTGTACTATTCTCGTGATAGTGAATACGCCTCAGGAGATCTGATGGGTTTATCAGGGGTTTCTTCTTTTGCTTCTCCTCATTCTTTCTTGTTGCTGCCATGTAAGAATTGCCTTTTGCCTCCCATCATGATTCTGAGCCCTCCCCAGCAATTAAACCTTTCTTCCCAGTCTCAGGTATGTCTTAGTAGTGTGAAAATAGACTAATACAGGCATTAAACCAAGAACAAAGTTTCTTCTGAGTGTAGGGACTTCTCTGATTACATAAGAGGTTTAACCCATAAAGTTGACCTTGCGAATATTTTTGTCATAAAAATGTATATATTTAAGGTACACAATGTGATATTTTGATATACATGTACATTGTAAAATGATATCTATAGTCAAGGTCATTAACTTATCCATCTTCTCACATAGTCACAATTATGTGGGTGTGTGTGGTGAGAACACTTCAGAGCTACTCTCTTACCAAATTTCAAATATACAATACAGTATTATGAACTATAGTCACAGATATTTTTAAAGCACAGTGGGAGAGAGTCACATGCTAATATTAATGGAGCTGAAAGTAGAATTTGGGGTCCTTGAAGTAACAATGGAGTCACAATGCCACTCTCCACAGCTAATCCTTGCCTTTTAATTAGGTCATAAACAAACAAACAAAGAAAAGAAATAAATAACTAAATGATTAAACTACTCTTTTTATTGTATTTTTTGCATTGAATATATTACTAACAGCCACTGAATGAATTATCCAGATTAATTACACTAATTAACTATATTGTGTTGTGCCAAGTAACAGATTTTAAAATACAGAATGGGTGGTCAATAAGAGATTGGGCTCTAGGCATTTGTTAACTTTACTATTAAAGTCTCAAGTGCTGGTCAGCTTTTTGATGCACATGTAAACTCTTCAAACATTTCAGAAAAACTTTCATACAATGACCATTGAGCCACAGACTATGTGCTGACTGAGCTGCAGTATTAGGAGTAAAACAAAGACCATTGAGCCACAGACTATGTGCTGACTGAGCTGCAGTATTAGGAGTAAAACAAAGAAGTAAATCAGAATTGCCTTCTTATTTATTTTATTGATTTCATCCAAGCATTGTGTGAAAGAAAAAAACAACATCATATGAGGAACAGTCACTTTACCAGCAGAGAAGGAAAGGAAAACCACTTTGTTAAACACTCAAGTTGTGAAGGAACACTCAATCACTGGCATACAATAAAAATTCAGTGTGATTTCTTTGTAAACTTTAATGGTTCAACAATATTGCCTCTGTATGCCAAATAGAAGTTGTTATAAGCAGCTGTGATGAGACACCGTTTACAGGAAAAAAAAAAGTTTATGATCTAAAGCCTCTCTCTAGCACTTTCAATCAAGATTTATCTGCTTAAATGGGATGTTTCAGCCATAATGAAATAAAAAATGATAATTCTCCAATTTGATGCTGTCGTTTTCAATTCCCTCCATGGAATGATTATTTACTTAAAGCCTACGGGGGTGAGGGTAGAAGAAAAACAGACATTGCCTAGACAACATTTCTACCTGTGGTTACTAATCAAAGAAATTGGCCGGAAGTAAATGAGTAGGACATTTACTACGTTTCTGATGAAAGTGCACTGCTAAAGAAACACTGAAAACTGCTAGAAAGTGTTCGTAAGGCTTCAATTCCCAGGTCATTTGCTGGAACACTGAACTCAATGCAACAAGGAATAGAGAAAACTGCTGTGCATCCATGAAAGGCATTTCCTTATGGTCCATCTCAAATGTGGCCATGGAGAAAAATACAAAATGAGGTTTGTCCCAAAGAAGAGATCCAGGAGCTGTGAAGGAGATGGGGACAAAAAAAAGAAAAAAAAAATCATTCCATAGATCAGAACCAGAGACAGAGCCACCCAAGAATTTGACTCCTCTGCCAAAATGAGGAAGAAGCAAAAGCAGAAACCCCTGATAAACCTATCAGATCTTGTGAGACTTATTCATTGTCACAAGAATAGCATGGGAAAGACAGGCCCCCATGATTCTATAACTTCCCCCTGGATCCCTCCCACAACGTGTGGGAATTCTGGGAGATACAATTCAAGTTGAGATTTGGGTTGGGACACAGCCAAACCATATCAATCAGTTTCATTTTTTGCCTGGTAGTAAAAATTCACCACCCCAGACTGGCTTGCATATAGAACAGGTCATGAGACACAGTTCTGGTCAAGGAGATGTAAGGAGTTACAAGGTGGGGCTCCAAGCTGAAAAAGTAAGGAATTGGTCCTGTTGACTTGCTCCTGTTATCCTTTCTTTTCCCCATCAGCCTCAGCCTTCTCCTATCTTAATTAAAAGCTTGATGTCTAATGGAGCCAGAGCACTCTTGTAAGCTTGAGGGAAAGTCCTATACATTAAGGATGGCAGAGTATAAAGTTGAAGGAACCTGACTGTCGGTAAGGATTGTGGGATCTCTGTTCTGAATTGGACCACTGAACTCTAAAGTGAGGAAAATAAACTGATTATTTAGTGGAGCCAAAGCTTGTTGGGGTTGAAGTTTTTCACAGCCAAACATTTACATCTTAAATATACTAAGCAATCAGCAAAAGCGAGAAAATGATCTATTGAACAGAAGTTTCATGCATTCATTCAAGTCTCGATATGGAGCGTCCACCTTTTGCCAAATAATTGCCCTAGGAACTGAACTTGGGTCCTTGAGGGAGACTGACACTTTGCCTTCAAAGATGTTCATTCAGAGAATCAGGATTCATGCATAAGTGCAGTTCAAAGCAGGCTGATGAAAGTTTCCATAAAAAATGATATTATACTAAAGATATAGGAATGTTTTCATCTCCTTAACATACATCTAGTGAAAAAGAAAACATTTGTTCAACATTTGGCCAGGGAATTGGACAAAGCTCAGTTTATGGTGAGTTTATGTGCCATATTAAAGTGTTTTAGTGACTGATTTCCCTGATACTACTGAAAAAAATTTGTTTAATTTCACCAAATTATCTATTAACTGCTAAATACTATATTTGTGTAAATAATAAAGCCAAAATAAGTATTTCTGACATGACATTTGCCATCTCTTAATTTATAAATTGTTTTTAAAAAATTATTGAATATCTGTTTTCACTAAGATTCATGTATGTCTTATTTAGCTGTTTGCTTTTCTTGTTTGTTTGCTTGTTTATTCATTTATTTATTTAAATACCAGATGTTTTGATGGATTGCTTTTTATGGATTTTATATTTTACTCCAAGATCTGGTAAAACAAACAAGCTTAATTTTGTAATACAGATGTTTTTCTAAAACTTTATGTGTGAGCCACATTCCCACTTTTAGCAAATTAAACAAGATATTAAGTACAGTGGGAGACTTCACTATTGAATGAAAACCATATTTTAGTCCTTTGATGAAATAATAGCTAACATCTATATAGATACTGTGACTCAATAGCTAAGTGTTTTTACACGTTCAATTATTAACTGAACTTAGGACATATTAATTCATCATAGTTATATAAATAAAACTTAAATATAATATACTAATATATGACAGACATGGTATAGCTAGATACTTATAAATATGCTCAATAGTTAAGGAGACTATGTCTAAGAAGAAGGCTCTTTAGGAAGCACTGGAAGAGTGCTTGCTCAGTACTTTCAGGTTTCTGAAATCTTTAAATGACTAATCTAGTAAATTTTTTTTGAACAAAATACGATGAAATATAAATACTAAAAGTAGCACTCTAAAATGATTACTAGGCTATATTTCTAAAATTTATACTATTATCACTCAACACAAATCAAATGGTTAAGAATAACGTGTGAATTTTACAATAAAGCAATGACTAAATGATACAAATCATGAAATAGCTGAACAGTTCTTCTTTTAGATATAAATCATGTTAACTGAAAGAGTGATAATATCTGGCATCTACTGGCAAAGGTCTGGTAAACAATTTAGCTGATGGAATGTTTAGTTCTTTTGTTACTTTTAATTTTTAATATCTATGTAATTTAAATAATTGTTCCTGAGACTCTCTTCCTTAAACCCTAGGCAAGTTACTAAATGGTGTCATGCACTGTGCTTTCTGGTTACTGTGGTTCAATTGTGGGAAAGCAAAGTCTGTGTTTATTGACTTACTTTCATTCTCTCTAAAATAAGTAGTTTGAGTTTGCACTGTGTTCCTTAACCATTCACAGGATATAAGGCAATGTGCTAGTGTCCAAAAAATGAGATAACTGTGGAATCTCTTCTTGCAACAGACCCAATAGTGAGGTTGTCAGTAGTGCAGGTTCCTGTGTTCATAACGATGCTAAAATATTGCAGTATATGATGGGATAATAAAAATATATTTGAGAATAATTTTATCCATGTTTAATGGTATTCTCAAATAATCTGCATGAATGAGGGATAAGAACACAGGAACTTATATAGAAACAGAGTATATTAAACAACTTTCTAGTAAAATCAGTCTGGTAACGTTGGATATTACTGTGTTATTTTGCTGAATTGGGGTTCAATTTTGAATCCAGAACTGAATTTCTCTGGGAAAGTGATGCTACTCTGACTACATGTGCTATTTTAGGCTTTTCTTTCTACCCTTTCTCTCAAAATAACTCAGTTTCTCCTTTAGATACATACTAAATAGTTTAAAATAAATATTTGCTTGAAGGAGTATAAAACTATTAGTCTGCCTTCAGTGATATGTTTTGATTTTAATCTGAATTTTTACAATGTATTGATCTATTCTAGTCTTGGATCCTTGATATTTCTAGGGCTCTATGCAAAATATACACGATTTTGACATGCAGAATGAATATAAAAAGAAATTTTACTTGGGAAGAAATTTGCAAAGCAATGATAAGTCTCCTTCCTATTTCATTATTTTATAATTGCTTGTATATGAAATGAATTCACAGAAGCCTGACATGCTGTAGGGAAAATCTGTTGAGAAAAAACTAAAGATTAAAAATAATAACATTATACATACAGAATTCATTGCTCAATTAGAGCCACAATCTCCACGTATATATTCAGCTTTACAATGTTACTCATGAATATGCAACCCATGATATATTAAGATTGTCACTGATCTCTAACTTCTGAAGTGTTTGTTAAAACTTAGAAATAGTACCTCTTAAAAAATAGTATTCAGTCATATGTGGAATCCTAGAGTAAAGAAAATTGAAATCTTGTTCAAGGGATTAGAAAGAATTCATTTAAACACATACTGTTTTACACTGATCTGGTCACTACTTCTAATTTCAACTTTAATCTAAGCAAATTTTTTTAATTACTTGACTTGCCTGGTACCAGTTAATTGGGTTTTGCTGATGAAAATGGAGACCATCTTTACCTATACAGATTAACTATCAGGATAAATAATGAAGGTCACCTTTGTCAACATGACTTCACTATTTTATCAAATAAATTCTTAAGAAGATGTGACTTTTTTTTTTTTTTTTGAAATGGAGTCTTGCTCTGTTGCCCAGGCTGGAGTGCAGTGGCGCCATCTCGGCTCACTGCAACCTCTGCCTCCCGTGTTCACACCGTTTTCCTGCTTTTCAGCCTCCTGATTAGCTGGGACTACAGGCGCCTGCCACCACGCCCGGCTAATTTTTTTGTATTTTTAGTAGAGACGGGGTTTTACCGTGTTAGCCAGGATGGTCTGGATCTCCTGACCTCGTGATACGCCCACCTTGGCCTCCCAAAGTGCTGGGATTACAGGCGTGAGCCACCGCGCCCTGCAAGAAGATGTGACTTTTAATCAACAAGTAACTTCACTTTTTACTTCATGAAATTTCTGAAAATTAATTTATTCGAATAATAGCTTGTTCACCTGAACAACTTGCTTATCAAACAATGGTTAACTTTTCAAGATCCCTGCATTCAAAGAACCACCTTGAATCATTAGAATCACCTTAAATCCCTATCTCAATTTTTTTTTTTTTTTTTAATTCGAGATGGAATCTTGCTCTGTCGCCCAGGCTAGAGTGCAGTGATGCGATCTTGGCTAACTGCAAACTCCGCCTCCTAGGTTTAAGCAATTCTCCTGCCGCAGCCTCCTAAGTAGCTGGGATTACAGGCATGCACCACCACACCCAGCTAATTTTTTTGCATTTTTAGTAGAGATGGGGTTTCACCATGTTGGCCAGGCTAGTCTCGAACTCCTGACCTCATGATCCTCCTGCTTTGGCCACCCAAAGTGCTAGGATTACAGGCATGAGCCACCACACCTGGCCTCTATCTCAATTTTTAAAATTTCATTAAAATTGCCATATACATACAATATAGGAGGTATTTTTATTACAACACTGACAGCCAACAAAACTGAGGGAAATGATCAGTGCTTTGGAAACCTCAACTGAGGCTCCAAATGGTTTAAGTAAAGAGGTAAGATTTTTGGATATCTAATTATATAATTAATGTTTTAAAGAACTCTGATGATAAGTGAGTAACTTAATTTTTAAAAATAATTTTGGAGCTGGGCACGGTGGCTCACGCCTGTAATCTCAACACTTTGGGAGGCCGAGGTGGGCAGATCACAAGGTCAGGAGTTCGAGACCAGTCTGGCCAATATGACGAAATTCCTCTCTACTAAAATTACAAAAATTAGCTGGACGTGGTGGCGTGCGCCTGTAGTCCCAGCCGCTTGGGAAGCTGAGGCAGAAGAATCGCTTGAACCCAGGAGGTGGAGGTTGCAGTGAGCCAAGATCGTGCCACTGCTCTCCAGCCTGGGCGACAGAGCGAGACTCGGTCTCAAATAATAATAACAATAAATTTTTGTAAACACTGGGTCTTCCTCTGTTGCCCAGGCTTGTCTCAGAATCTTGGGCTCAAGCAATCATTCTCATAGCCACCCAAAGTGCTGGGATTACAGGTGCGGCCTTTGATTTTCCAGGTTAACAGGTCTACAGTAATAACACAGAAGAGGTTGAGTGGGAGCATTAAAACTTTTAAACTGTATGAATACTATTGTGTGTTCCTGTATTGTCATGGAAACCAAGAACTTATTTTCAAAGAGATTCTATAAATTAATGAAAGAAGAAAGGAAGGAAAACAGAACAAAGAGAGACAAAGAGAATAAAAGAAAATTATTTTTTAAGACTATGCTTTCAAAAATCCCTGATTTTTAGAATTTAGATTTTCTGAATTGGTAAATACATGGGAATGACATATTTTTAGAAATAAAAGGAACAGTATTTGGGGGACTAATCAGATTAACTATAGCATAGTACAATTAGTAAATACTTCAATGATAATTGAATTCACTCTATTAAAATTACAGATATGTAATGATTTCCATCGATGTGCTGGAGCTGGCATATACCACCCAACCAGAGCTAATTGTTAAAGTTTTAGGAAGTTTCTGAGCTGATTTTAAAACTTAACCATTATTAAAATTATATTATATAAACATATTTTAATAAATTATATTTTAAAAATTAAATATATACTTAAAATTTATTGTTTTAATTATTTTATGTTTTGCAATTATTTATGCTTCTGAGGTTACTTATGTTCATCATACCTGAGTGGTGAAAATACTATGTAATGGTATGCTACTTCTCCCAACTTTATGCAGAGACAACATCAGAAGCTTGAAATTGGCAACAGTGGGAGTACTTACAGTACACAAATTGGCAAACTCTTTAAATGGGGGCTTAATTTTCTATTTTGTTATTTATTCAGAATTAAGCCTATCATGAGGAAAAATTATTTATAATACAGGTTAAAAACAAAAGTATGTTGTGTCTGCAGCAATCACATTTTGAATAATGTACACAAAAAGTTTTATTTCAATATCCTAGAACTACTCTCTGATTCATAAATAAGTCATTCACGTCATTGGTGGACAAGAGACATTCTGGCATAGTACTTCTCCTTTGTCTTACTAATTAATGTAAAGGGGAATATCAACCAGTATTCTTACCAAAACTACATGTGTTCATTAATTGTAACAGTAGTTTCTCTATGAATACAATTATCTGGCAGGAACAATGAAAGCCAATTGTAAGTATCAATTAGCTCTATGCAATTTACAGTAAAGAGTATTATAGACGTTATTTTTGTTAAATCATATTATGCTTTTTATTCAGTAAAATTTATAATGAATGCACATGTATTAATATACTTTCCATTTTATAACAAAATATAACACTTTATAATAATCTTTTATAATGAATATGATAGTTTTTTCCAAATTTATAATAAACATATTTTTTAGTAGCCAGTTAATAAACATTTACTACCACCCTACTAACTTTAACCCAGATGTTGTTTGCTAATTTAAAAAAATATATATTACTTAGTTAAGTTGGATACTGTTTTTATCCTTGAAAGTGTTTACCGAGCAAAGTAATGTGCTGATATACAATGATGACAAAGACAGCAATCCCACTTCTCTTTCTCAGACTTTTGCTAAATGGAGATTGTTTGATAGCAAGCAATGATATTCTACTATGATAAAAACAAGAGATGTTGAGAGTACTATGGGAGAATGTTGCATATACAATTAATGATAAATAACAACTCAGAAAGTATCATGAAGAAAATTATATTCATGCTAAGACTTGATGACTGTAAGTCAAACTAAGGTGAAGGGAAAGAATGTTTTAGGAAAGGAAAATAACAATGTTTTCAATATAATATTTACTTATGTGACAATTGTTTTTTTTTTCTTTTTTTTCCTATTCCAACCTGTGTTTTATGATCATGGGGTACATATGCAGATTTCTTATATTGGTAAATTGTGAATCATTGGGGTTTGGTGTACAAATGATTTCATCAACCACATAGTAAGCATAGTGCCTAACAGGCAGTTTTTTGACCCTCATCCTCGTCCACCCTCCAAACTCAAGAAGGCCTCAGTTTCTAATGTTCCCGTCTTTGTGTCCCTGTGTACTCAATGTTTAGCTCCTACTTATAAGTGAGAACACGAAAATATTTGGTTTTCTGTTCCAGCATCAATTCATTTAAGATTATGGCCTCCAGCTCCATCCATGTTGCTGCAAGGGGCATGATTTTGTTCTTTTTTATGGCTGCTCATTAGTCCATGGAATAAATACACCACATTCTCTGTATTCAATCCACCATTGATGGGCATCTAGGTTGATTCCATGTCTTTGCTTTTGTGAATAGTGCTGTGAGGAGCATAAGAGTTCATATGTCTTTTGGTAGAATAATTTCTTTTCCTTTGGGTATATAACCAGTAATGGGATTGCTGGGTCAAATGGTAGTTCTGCTTTAAGTTCTTTGAGAAATCTCCACAGTGCTTTTGGCAGAGGCTGAACTCATTTTTATTTCCACCTGCAGCGTATAAGTCCTCCCTTTTCTCTGCAATCTTGACAATATCTATTATTTCCTGACTTTTTAAATACCAGCCATTCTGACTTGTGTGAGATAGTATCTCATCGTGGTTTTGATTTGCATTTCTCTAATAATTAGTGATGTTGAGCATTTTTCCATATGCTTGTTGGCTGCTGGTATGTCTTCTTTGGAGAAGCATCCATTCATTTCCTTTGCCCATTTTTTAAATGGGGTTGTTTTTTGCTTCTTGATTTAAGTTCCTTATAGATTCTGGATATTAGTCTTTCGTCAGATGTATAGATTGCAAATATTTTCTGTACGTTGTCTATGTATTCTATTGATAGTTTCCTTTGCTATGCAGAAACTCTTTAGTTTAATTATGTCCTGTTTGCTTTTTTGTTTTTGTTTTTGTTGCAATTGTTTTTAGAGAATTCATCACAAAATCTTTGCTAGGTCCTATATGCAGAATGGTAATTTATAGGTTTTCCTTTAGAATTTTTATAGTTTGATGTCTTACTCACATCTTTAGAGATTCAAGTATTTAATACATCTTGAGTTGATTTTTGCATATGGTGTAAGGAAGAGGTCCAATTTCAATCTTCTGCATATGACTAGCCAGTTACCCCAGCACAATTTGTCAAATAGGAATTCCTTTCCCCATTACTTGTTATTGTGAATTTTGTAGCAGATCAGGTGGTTATAAATGTGTGGATTTATCTCTGGCTTCCTTACCTGTTCCACTGGTCTATGTGTCTGTCTTTGTATCAGCCCAGTACTTTTTAAGTTACTGTAGCCTTGTAGTATAGTTTCAAGTAGAGTATTGTGATGCCTCTGGCTTTGTTCATTTTGCTTAGGATTGCTTTGATGATTTCTGCTCTATTTTGGTTCTATATGAATTTTAGAATATTTTTTCTAATTCTGTGAAAAATGACATTGGTAGTTTAACAGAAATAACATTGAATCTGTAAATTGCTTTGGCTAGTATGCCATTTTACCAATATTGATTTTTTTCTATCCATAAGCATTTGTTGTGTTGTCTCTGGTTTCTTTCAACAGTGTTTTGTAATTCTTGTTGTAGAGATCATTCATCTCCCTGGTTAGCTGTACTCTTAAATATTTTAGTCTTTTATTTTGGCTATTGTGAATGTGATTGCATTCTTGATTTGGTGCTCAGCTTATATATTATTGAGGTAAAGAAATGCTACTGATTTTTATGTATTGATTTTGTATCCTGAAACTTTACTGAAACTGTTTATTAGTTCTAAGAGCCTTTGGGCAGAGACTATAGGATTTTCCTAGGTATGAAATTATGTTATCCATAAACAGAGATAGTTTGACTTCCTTTCTTCCTAATTGGATGTACTTTACTTATTTTTCCAGCTAGGACTTCCCTTATTATGTTGAGTAAGAGTGGTGAGAGTGAGCATCCTTGTCTTGTTCCCATTCTCTGAGGGAATGATTCCAGGTTTTGCCCATTCAGTATGATATTGGCTGTGGGTTTGTCATAGATAGCTCTTATTATTTTGAGGTATTTCCTTCAATCCCTAGTTTATCGAGAGTTTTTAACATGAAGCGGTGTTCAATTTTATCAAAAGCCTTTTCTGCATCTATTGAGATAATCATTTGGTTTTTGCCTTTAGTTCTGTCATGTGATGAATCACTTTATTTGCCTGTGTTGAACCAACTTTGCATCCTGGAGATGAAGCCTAAATGATCGTGATGGATAAGCTTTTTGATGTACTGCTGGATTCAGCTTGTTAGTATTATGTTGAGGACTTTTACATCAGTGTTCATCAAGGATATTAGCCTAAAGTTTTCTTTTTTGTTGTATCTCTGCCAGATTTTGGTATCAGGGTAATGCTGGCCTCACAGAATGAGTTAGGGAGGTTTCCCTCTTCCATGATTTTTTTGAATAATTTCAGTAGGATTGCTAACAGGATTTCTTTATATATCTACTAGAATTGCAGTGTGAATTTATCTGGTCCAGGGCTTTTTCTGACTGGTAGGTTTGTTATTACTGATTCAATTTTGAAACACATTATTGGCCTTTTCAGGATTTTGATTTTGGCCTGGTTTAATCTTGAGAGGTTGTATGTTTACAGAAATTGATTCACTTCTTCTAGATTTTCTAGTCTGTGTTCATAGAAGTGTTCAAAATAGTGTATCAGGATTTTCTGTATTTCAGTGGTAAGGTCAACTTTTCATGTCTTATTGTGTTTATTTGTATTTTCTCTCTTTTTTTTTGTTAATCTAACTAGTAGTCTGTCAATCTTGTTTATTCTTTCAAATAAATAACTTTTGTTTTCTTTGATATTTTGTATGAATTTTTTGCATCTGATTTCATTCAATTCATCTCCGATTTTGGTTACTTATTTTATTCTGCTTGTTTTGGGGTTGGTTTGCTCTCTTTTTTTTAGTTCCTTTATGTTATGTTAGGTGTTTAATTTGATATCTTTTTAACTTCTTGATGCAGGCAATTAGCACTATAAACTTTCTCCGTGTGGCTTTAGCTATGTCCTAGAGATTATGATATGTTGTATTTTTATTTTTATTCCTTTCAAATTTTTTTTGATTTCTTCCTTAATTTTATTCTTCACATAAAAGTCATTCAGGAGCAGGCTGTTTTGTTTCATTTTTAATTATCAAACTTTAATTAATAGACTAATCTTACTAAATAAACAATAAGACAGCTAATCTAATTACACTTTAAAAAATCCAGCTGGGCCAGGTGCAGTGGCTCACCCCTGTAATCCCAGCACTTTGGGAGGCTGAGTGGGCGGATCATGAGATCAGGAGATCAAGACCATCCTGGCTAACACAGTGAAACCCTGTCTCTACTAAAAATACAAAAAAATTAGCCAGACGTGGTGGTGGGCACCTGTAGTCCCAGCTACTCAGGAGGTTGAGGCAGGATAATGGCGTGAACCCGGGAGGTGGAGCTTGTAATGAGCCGAGGTTGTGCCACTGCACTCCAGCCTGGGCAACAGAGCAAGACTTTGTCTCAAAAAAAAAAAAAAATCCAGCGGAGCAAATCTAATAGACTAAATATCTTTATCTCCTCCCAAACAGACACTTGATTTAAAAAGATAAACCAAAACAGAGTGTACACCACAAGGAAACATGGTCCATACATATATTGTCAAATAATTCTGCAGAATTCTTTAGGAAAGAAAAAGAAAGATGTTCTTAGAAATTTAGAAAGCAGTATAACCACCCAGACTGGCAGGTTAATCTACCAGATGTTCTGCACATGAGAGGGCTCCCGACTACCTGTAATTAACGCCAAACACTATTAAGAAAGAAAAAGGTGTCAATCCTAACTGGAGATGACTGTATCACACAGCCTTGAGACAAAGAGACCATCCTTTTCCAAAACAATAGACATGAACAGAGGCAAGGAGCTAGAGAAGAGGCCTCAGCAGATAGATAGAAAGAAAGCTTACTTTTGCAGTGCCCTTGGGACAATAAATTTACCCCCTTTACATTCTCTGCCCCTGGCAAAGAAAGGGTTGGTCAAGTGAAAGAACCCATAGCGACTCCTCCAGTCACATATAATTGTATGGTTTTGAGAAATCGTAATTTCCATGTAATTGTATGGTTTTGAGAAATCTCAACATTAATTTCTATTTTTATTGTGCTGTGGTCCAAGAGTGGGGTTAGTATGATTTCAGGTTTTTTGAATTTGTTTGAAAATTTCTCTATGGCTGAGTGTGTGGTCAATCTTAAAATATGTGCCATGTGCAGAGGAGAAGAAAGTACAGTCAATTATTGAGTGGAGTATTCTTTAGGTGATTGTTAGGTCTATTTGGCCAAGTGTCAAGTTTAGGTCCTGAATATCTTTGTGAGTGCTCCACCTCAATGATCTAACACTGTCAGTGGGGTGTTGAGGTCTCCCACTATTATTGTGTAGTTATTTAAGTCTCTTTGTAAATCTGTAAGAACTTGTTTTATGAATTTAGGTGCTGCAATGTTTTTTTTTTTTTGTGTGTGTGTGTGTGTGTGTGTGTATACATATCTTCTCATTGAATTGAACCCTTTATCATTATGTAATGCCCTCCTTTGTCCCTTTTGCTTGTTATTGGTTGAAAGTCAGTTTTGAGTAAAATATGAATAGCAACTCCTATTCTTTATTGTTTTCCATTTGCGTGATAGATCTTTCTCCATCCTTTACTTTGAGCCTATGGGTATAATTTCTTGTGAGATGGATATCTTGAAGACAGCATACAGTTCGGTCTTGATTTTTTTTTCAACTTGCCACTCTGTGGCTTTTTTATTTTTTATTTTTTTTTTCAGACAGTCTCACTTTGTTGCCTAGGCTAGAGTGCAGTGGTGCAGTTCCGGCTCACTGCAAACTCCGCCCTGCCAGGTTCAAGTGATTCTCCTGCCTCAACCTCCCGAGTAGATGGAATTACAGGCGCATGCCACCACATCCAGCTAATTTTGTATTTTTAGTAGAGACAGGGTTTCACCATGTTAGCCAGGCTGATCTCAAACTCCTGACCTCAGGTGGCCCACTGGCCTCGGGCTCCCAAAGTGCTGGGATTACAGGCGTGAGCCACCGCACATGGCCTGTAGCTTTTAAATGCAGCATTAGGCAATTTACATTCAGGGTTACTACTGATATGTAAGAATTTCATCCTGTCATTGTGTTGTTAGCTGTTTGTTACGTAGACTTGATGGTATAGTTGTTTTATATTGTCAATGGTCTATGTACTTCAGTTTGTTTTTGTATTGACTGTGAATGATCTATCGTTTTCATGTTTAGCACTCCTTTGAGGACCTCTTGAAAAGCAGGTCCTGTGGTAATAAATTGCCTTATTATTATCTTGTCTGATTAGGATATTATTCCTTTTTGCTTATGAAACTTCATTTGGCTGGATATAAAGTTCTTGGTTGGAATTTATTTTCTGAAGGGACACGGAATATGAGCCTCTAATCTCTTCTTGATTGTAAGATTTTTTCTTAAATGTCCACTGATGAGATTCCCTTTGTATATGACCTGCTCCTTCTCTAGCTGCCCTTAAGAATTTTTACTTTTGCAGTGACTTTGGAGAATCTGTTATCTATGTCTTGGTGATGGTTTCTTATATAGTATCCCTCAGGGGTTCCCTAAATTTCCTGAATACGCATGTTGATCTCTCTAGTGAGATGGGGGAAATTATGTGAACAATATCTTCAAATGTGTCTACTCTTTCTCTGTCAACTTGCTTGCTCTCTCGCTATCTCTTTCAGGAATGGCAATTTATCCTATGTTTATTAGTTTCATCTCTTCATATAACCTCATATTTCTTAAAGGTTTTGCTTATTTTTTTAAAAAATTATTTTTTTCTTTATTTTTGTCTGCCTGCATTAATTCAAATGACTGTTCTTCAAACTCTGATATTCTTCCCTCAGCTTGGTCTCTTCTATTATTTATGATTCAAAAGTCATTGTGAAATTACTGAAAACAATTTTTTTTCCAGAAGTTCATTTTGTTTTTTTCTTAAAATGGTGACATCATCTTTCAACTCTTGGACAGTTGTACTGTTTTCCTTGGATTAGATTTCAACCCTCTCCTGTATTGTGATGAGCTTTCTTGCCATCCAGATTCTGAATTCTATGTCTGTCATTTCAGCCATTTTTGTCTGGCTAAGAACATTGCTGAGGAGCTGTTGTGATATTTTGGAGGTAAGAAGCTACTCTGGCCTTTAGAGTTGCCAGAGTTCTTGCATAGGGTTTTTCTCCTCTTTGTGGGCTGAAGTTCCTTTAATCATTGAATTTGCTGTCTTTTGGATGGGGCTTTTTGCTTTTACCTTCTTTGATACCCTTGAAGGTTTGACTGTGGTATAAGCTGGGTTTAGTGAATTGGCTTTGTTTCTGGATGTTTCACAGGGCCAAGGCTCAGCTCAGCACTCCTGGACTGTGTGTCCCTAGGACAATGGGAGCAGGCCTTGTAGCTTTGTTCTCTAGCCCCTGAGGCTAAGCCACTGCTGTGCTGGAGGGGTCAATGTGTTTCCAGTCTGCTGGCAACAACACTCTGAAAGGGGCTGCCAACAAATGCATGCCGATGAGACCATGAAGGGAGTATGCATTGGCAGGGATCCATTTGTAAAAGTGCTCTAATGGGTAGGTGGGATCTGCTGGCAAAAGTACTATGGTGGTGGCCGCTGGCAAGTTGAAGTTGTGCTGCAAGTAGGTATAGCAAGGCAGGGACCCTGGGAGAAACCAGCAGACTGTGGGGTACTCAGATCTAACTGACTCTGTCCCACAGGTAAGATAGCCCAACTCTGTCCAGGTCTGGCAGCTATCAGAGGCCAAAGTTGCCTAGAGAGTATAGTGAGTGTTGGGGGATGGATACCCATAGTCGTGCTCCACTGCAGCTGTTCCAAGGGCATACCTTCTTGGCTCTGTGCAGGCTGGAGTTCTGCCTTAACCATTTCTACAGGCAATTCTCTCTTCCAGCTCAGATGTCTGTAGGCGTCATGGTATCTCCCACAAATAGGATTCTAGAGATCCATGGTGAGAGTGGGTCACTCCATGCCTGTTTCACTATGTAACAATTATTTGTTTATTCTTTGTGTTTCTTTTTTATTTTATTTATTTTATTTATTTATTTATTTTGAAATGGAGTCTCACTCTTGTCCCCCATGCTGGAGTGCAATGGCACGATCTTGGCTCATTGCAACCTCCGCCTCCTGGGTTCAAGCAGTTCTCTTGCCTCAGCCTCCTGAGTAGTTGGGATTACAGGTGCCTGCCACCACACCCACCTAATTTTTGTATTTTTAGTAAAGACAGGGTTTCACCATGTTGGCCAGGCTGGTCTCGAACTCCTGACCTCAGGTGATCCGCCAGCCTTAGCCTCCCAAAGTGCTGGGATTACAGGCGTGAGCCACTGTGCCCGGCCCTATCTTTGTGTTTCTTTCAGTAAAATAAAAAAGAAATTACTTTTGAAATGTTATGAAGAATATTATCAAATACATTTAATAGCTTTAGGTAATTTTGAGATAAGAACTGAATGTGGATTTAGGAAGCAGTTAAAGAATGCTACTTAAAATGATAGTAATTTGATTACCAGAGATGATCAAACCTTAAAAGATTTATAAAATTTATGACCACTGATTTTGATTCTAACTTGAGAGAGGAAAGTAAGGTTTATTAGAAGTAAATTGTATAAGAAACATTGGAGCACATTGAAATAACAAGTCCTGTGAGATTGAGTGTGCATTAGTGTGAATCTAAAAGAGTCTATTTGCTACTAAGTGATAAGGAAACATTGTAAGATGATGGGCCTGAAGGAGAAGAGAATATATGTGGTTTACAAAGACTATTTGAATTTTTTTATGTTTGCTCATTTTTTTTCTAATTTTGAGGTAAGATTATGTTTTGTTTTTTCTTTGTCTATTAATTTTAAACAAGAAGAAATTAAAATAATTATCAAATGAACTCTTTGGAATAAACGAATTTTATAAATTAATTTGCAAGAAAAGGCAATCTATGAAGAATTGAAGAAAATATGCTACCTTGAGTCAACAAATAGCAGGAAAAAAATTAGTGCATGCCATTTAGATTATTCACATAATAATTGTAGCAGTATTTTGATTATTGGATTTTTTATTTTCCCTTGTTTATTAGGCAATACAAAAGCTAAAAAATGTATTTACATGATTTTTTTTTCTTTTACACTATCTCATAATCTGAATCTTATTATTATCCTGATTTTCTTACACCTATGTAGTTTTGGTTAACAAACCCAAGAATAATATTGCCTATACTCTGTTAACTGTTCTTCAGTAGAAATCATTAAAATCAAATTGACATTATACTTACACATAGCCAAAAAGAGGAATGGTTCAGGATAGCCATCTATTCCGCATCTAAGGCAGAGTAAGTCAATAAGAGATCCCTCCTTAGCATACTAGCTTCATTGGATGGATATAAATACATTATGCAATCAGAAACCATAGGAATTCTGAAGTGGCTCTTCTAATATCAGAAAAAAAAAAACTTCAAAGAGTAACAGCAGAATAATGGTAGAGTAGGCAGACCCAAACTCTTGCCCTCCCACAGAAATATTGAGAAAGCAAGAGACAGCATCAGAACCAACTTTGTCATAACTCTTAGACACAAAGGTTCCCAGCAACCAAGTGAATGCTGGAACAAGAAAATAGCAGCTTTAAATGGTAGGAAAGCTTAGTGGCATTTACTTACCCTTACTCAACTTTCTTCCCATCACATCAGCAAACTTGAAGGGAGACGCTCACATTCCCAGTCTGAGACCCTGGTGCCTGGTTTGGGAGGGAGATGGGCAGATCTTATTAGTCAGTAATTGTGTTTGTCTGTTTAATGTGATTGTGGATACCTACAGGTTATTGAAAGTTGCTAGACTCTATTTTGCTTAACTCACAACACAGGTTGAAAAAAAATGTGGGCATTGCTTAAAAACTCACCAAGACAAACAACCCACAGATTATTAGAGCAAAGTATTACCATCTCAACATACAAAAATTGCCTAAAACCTGGAGGAAATACTGGGAGAGATTTGGGGAAACTAGAACATTCACAGCACCCTTTTATATGGGGGAATTGAGAAACCCACACATATGCCTAAAGCAAGACATATTCTCTGAAAAGCCCTGAAAACCCCAAACTTGCACTTTGAGCTTATCAGAATTTATTGTAAGACTACCAAAGTGTTGGCATGTCCCAGCAAAGAGCCAATCTGCAAAGATTGGAAGAGTATTTGATTATTTTTGTTTTGTTTTTGATTCTTTTTTTTTAATTGTTTTTATGTGTTCTTTGTGTTTCTTGTTTTCATTTTATTGAGTTATTTTGCTTTTATTTATTTATTTTATTTTATTTTGATATGGAGTCTCGCTCTGTCGCCCAGGTTGGAGTGCAGTGGTGTTATCTTGGCTCACTGCAACCTACACCTTCTACCCAGAAATGTAGGGTTCAAGCGCTTCTCCTGCCTCAACCTCCTGAGTAGTTGGGAATACAGGCACCCACCATCATGTCCAGCTAATTTTTGTATTTTTAGTAGAGACATGGTATCACCCTGTTGACCAGGCTGGTCTCAAATTCCTGACCTCAGGTGATCCCTCCACCTTGGCCTGCCAAAGTGCTGGGATTACAGGTGTGAGCCACCATGCCCAGCTGTTTTGCTTCTTTTTGTTTGTTTGTTTTGCTCTTGGTATTAAAGTATATCTCTGTCAAGCATTAGCTAAACAGGAGCTAAGGAAAGAGATACTTGAGTGGTCACACACACACAAAATTCAGTCTTTGCAAAAATACTTTGGAAAACAAATGGGTTACTACAGACTTAAAAATAAAATAAAAAAATAGTAAGCCCTGGGGAAGAGGGCAAATTTGACTCCCACTGTTACACATCACCATATTTGCATGCACAGTTTTGAACAACAACAAAAGCCCCATAAGGCATACAAAGAAATAGAAAGTGTGTTATATTCAAAATAATAAAGTAAATGGGCAGAAGCCATCCCTGAGGAGGCCTGGACATTAGATTTAATCAGCAAAATATTTTTTTAAATTCTTACATATTCTCAAAGGGTTAAAGGAAAACAAGAATAAAGAATGAAAGAAAAAATTTAAATATATAACAAAATGACCATTTAAAAAAAAGAAAGAGAGAAATTATAAAAAGAAACCAAATATAAATTATTGTCCTGAAAAGAAAAGATAAACTAAACTAAAAATTGACTAAAAAGTAAAATTAAAAATTGACCAGTAGGTTTTAATTGTAGATTAGAGCAGGCAGAAGAATTACCAAATTTGAAGGTAAAACAATTGAAATTATTGTGTCTCAGGAGAAGAAATACAAGAATGAAAGTGATTATAGCCTCAAGGACTTGTGAAGCAACACCAAGTGAGCAAACATTTTCATTGTGAAAGTTACAGAATGAGAAGAGAAAGACGAAGTAGAAGGAATATCTACAGAAAAAATGATCAAAAAGTTACCCAATTTGACGAAAGACATGAATCTTCTGATCTAAGAAGTTCAATAAATATCAAGTAGAATAAAATCAGTTTCACATTGATTCACATTATAATCTAACTGTTGAAAGACAAAGAAAAGAGAGAATCTTAAAAGCAGTAAGAGCAAAGTGATTTATTCTCACAAGGGATCCTCAATAAGATTTAAAGCTATTTTTTCAATAGAAACCATGGGAGCCACAAGGCAGTAACATATTTAAAGTACTGAAAGAAAAGTCAACCAAGAATTATGTATCAGGCAGGCCGAGTGTAGTAGATCACACCTATAACCCTAGCACTTATGGAGGCTGAAGCGGGCAGATTTCCTGAGCTCAGGAGTTCGAGACTAGCCTGGGCAACATGGTGAAACCCAGTCTCTACTAAAATACAAAAAAAATTACCTAGGCATGGTGGCATGCGCCTGTAATCCCAGCTACTCAGGAGGCTGAGGCCGTAGAATTGCTTGAACCTGGGAGGGGGAGGTTGCAGTGAGCTGAGATTGAGCCACTGCACTCCAGCCTGGCGACAGAGCGAGACTCCATCTCTAAAATAAATAAATAAATAAATAAATAAATAAATAAATAAATAAATAAATAAATAAAAATAAAAAATAAAAAAGAATGATATATCAGGCAAAACTGCCATTCTAAAATAAAAGAGAATTTTTTTTTTGTAAACTAAGGATGTTAAATTTAATCCATATGTTTCACAAAGAAGATATCTGAAGAATATTCTAAAGAAGAAATGAGAAGGGACAAACAGTTTACAACAAAAAAATTAGCTAAACACAAAAGGAAGAAGCAATGAAGAAAATAAGGGCAAAAGAGTTATAAGACATACATGAAGCAGCTAAATAACAGAAGTTAATTCTTTCAATCCATAATTACTTTAAATGTGTGTGGATTAAACTCTAATCAAAAGACAGATATTGAAAGAATGGATTAAAATGATAACAACAACGACAACATAAATCTTCTCTTAGAAGGGAATATAGAGGTGAATCTTCATGACTTTGGAATTGGCAATTAATTCTTACATATGACATTAAAAACATAAGTAATAAGAGAAAGAAAAATAGGTAAATTTTCTTCATTGAAATTGAATACTTCTGTATGTCGAATGACATTATCAAGAAAATGAACAACCTGATTTATAAAAGGGGCGAAGGACTTGAAATAGACATATCTCCAAATAACACACTGAAATGGCCAATAAGAATATAAAATGTTCAAATTATTAATCCTTTAGGGAAAGTGAAGTCAAACCATTTAGTTACCACTTCATACTTAATAGAATGGCTATATTAAAAACAAAGAAACAAAACAGAAAATAGCAAGAGTTAGCAAAGATGTGGAAAAATAGGAACTCTCATAGATTTCTGCTAAAAATGTTAATTTGTGCAGCTACTGTGAAATATTAATATAATTTAGAAGTTCCTCAAAATTGAAATATAGAATTACCATATGACCCAGTAATTCTATTCCCAGGCATATACTTTACATAAAATGATTGAAAAGTGACTCCAACAAATAGTTAGATAACAATGTTCATTGGGTATTCACAGTAGCCAAAAAGTAGAAAGAATCCAAGTGTCCATCAATAGATAAATGGATAAATAAATGTGACATATACCTGCAATGGCATATCAGTCACTCATAAGAAGGAATGAAGCCTATATACATGCTGAAAACATACATGAAATTTGACACCATTGTGCTAAGTGAAATGAAGCACAAAATAAAGGAGAAATATTTTGATTCAACTTATATGAAATATCTAGAACAGTGAAATTCAGAAATATTAAAGTTCACCAGTGACTTGGGCAAGAGAAAAATGGAGTTATTACACAATGGCTGTAGAGTTTGTTTAGTATGATGAAAAATTTTGGAAACTAATAGTTGCGATGACCACATAACATAGTAAATAAAACTAATGTCACTAACTTTATACATAAAAATGGTTAAATAGGAAATTGTATGTGATATGTCTTACTATGATAAAAAAGACTTTAAAAAGAAAATTGTTAGTGGAGATAAAGAAAAACTTTTTGTAATGATAAAAAGGCCAACCAATCAGAAGAAAACAAATCAAATTGGCTTAAATAAAACATTATATTATAGGGACCCAGATTCCCCAAAAATGTATCCAGACATTTATGTGCAACATTAAACTATTTATTCGTCCTCTCAGTACATTTTTCAAAGCAAACTATTTACTTTCAAATCACTTTTTCCTCGGCTTAAAGTCTTTAAGACAAAGTAATAAGATATGGTGAATGAAACACACTGTGTCAAATGATGAGATCTTTAACAATGAAGCACTTAATGAATACAGTGCACTGCAAGTTTGTCTCTCACTAACATGTACCTGCAAGGCAAGTGGCTGATTTAACTATCTTCACCTTACAGCTATAGTACTTGAATAAAGGGAAAATAGTGCTCAGAGCTGGAGATGCATCACTGGCAGCACTGAAACAAAATATCAGAGAACTGAAAGGCTTCTTAGGCTGTCATCTGGATTAGTCTCATGACACTGGGTAGGTGCAAATTTAAAGTGACAGCAGCAGGTATCTAGGGACAGCATGTATTAATAAAATCCTGTCCTCCAAAGACTTTATATTTTTGGAGTTTATTCAGCTTTATCAGGAATCCTAAGGCTGAATAGGCAGTTAGTAGTAATTTTGTTCATATCAGACCATATACAGACTACATCTTTGCCAGATATATGATATTAAAGGGATTGTAACTGCTGGGGCCATGCCTGTTAATTATTTCTTAAAACTAGTATTTACTAATTAATAGATATTTGACAGAGGTTATAAAATCTTCCTGTTTATTAAAAAATATTGCTATAGAACTCTAGAACTTATTTATATCTAAATGGAAAGCACTGTAAGATTACTACAGTGAATAATAATATGTTATATATTTTCAAATAGCTAGAAGAAAGGAAAATAAATGTTCCCACAAGAAAGAAATGATGTGTTTTAGATGATAGATATGCTAATTACCCTGGTCTGCTCACTATACATTCTATGTATTGAAACATCATGACGTACCCCATAAATATGTACAATTATTATGTGTCAATTAAAAAATAAAAATTAAACAAATATTCCTGATTATTTCACAGGTATTTGCTGCCTGGTAAAGAATTACTCTTATTTCTTGTGTGGTAACTTAAAATCATCTCACTGACAAACTATTTTGTACATAAAGTGGGATAAACAAACCATCAATAGAAAATATTATTTTTCCATTCACTGATGACTCTCTGTTTTCCTTGTGATACTTGAGTTTCAAGGGAAATAAATCAGTCAGAAAGCACAGAATGCCCTGGAAATTACAGGCCTGAGTTGCCTGCCTTTGGCAAATTATAAATTCCAAATATTATCTTTTGTTTCATCTGCTTTGTCATTGGCTTCTGAGTGCATAAAGAGAAAAATCTGGATGACCATACAGAGAAATTACACAACGTTTAAGAAAGATAAAAAGTATACAGTTTAATATTACCTATCAAGAAACAAATGAAGCCACACAATTCTAAAACCTAATTCCTGTGACAAAGCCTGTAACACACCCAAAATAGCACAACATAAATCCAGTCCTTTGCCACTGTCTGGAGTAAGGGGAAACTATACCATTCTAATCTGCTTTATTTACAAGGGTAAGAATGTAATCTTGTATCTAACAGTCCTGCAATCAGAAGTGGGTGTTAGCTCACCTCAAATGAAAAACCTGTTATAGATTTATGCAGCAGAGCTTTCTTAACTAAGCGTTATAACCAGCATGTTTCCTTGCTTTGTAAAGATTTGTTTGGAGTTTAAAATGATTCCATGAGTATTATAGATTTAAATTTGGAGGAATTAAAGCTTCTAATCATGAGACAATTTTAGAGATATTCTCTGACATCTAACAGCCAGTTTTAAATGTCATTTCCTAATTTAACTCAGCATAGGTCTTTTTCAAAAGAAAATATTATAAGAATCAATAAATCAATTTACATTGGCACAGATAGACACTGGCTCCATGATGAAGTCAGTTTTGCTTGAAGGATTTTTGTTCCATAAGTGTGTGTGTGCGTGTGTGTGTGTCTGTCTGTCTGTGTGTTTGTGTTTTGGGGGGGTGTGGAGTTTTAGACTAAAATTTCTAACCAAAATATATTTTATTCTTAAATGTTGGTAAAATTATTAGCTCAAAATATTAATTTGTATGCCTCTCAGAATGTAGTAAAGTGCTATGTAAAAAACACTAAAAAATTATGTAGAAGAATCTTTAGTTGCCAGGTTGCTGGTAATACTTTAACTGGTATGGTATGCTACAACCACTTACATAAAAGTGGAGATATTTTTGTGATGTAGAATTAAAATTATTATCATGCTTAACATTAATGGGGAGATAAAAACTGGGGAGAGGGAAGAGAAGAGATGTAGCAATAAGAAAAACAGTCTTATTTTTGGAGGGATTCTTTTTGATACACCAGATTAAACAGCTATTTGATTTTGAGGCAACTCATTATTTCATTTTTTTTACACACATCTCAGGATGATAAAAGGGAAGAGTTTTCTCTGTTATACCAAAGCCAATCTAATATCATTCTTTCTTTATCTTTGAGTAACCCTAATGCTATTTTGAGGCAAAGACCTTGGATGTCCTACCTTTATAGCACTGGATTTCTGTCACTATAGCTATTCTGTGTATTTATCTCTCTCATTGAATCTGTTGCCACCAATTTATTCTCTTTACAATTTTCTTCCATGATTTAATTGTTTAGATAGCCCATCAAACAGAACGTTGGCCTCCAATTCCCTAACCTCTCTATTCCCTGTAGTCTGTAAATTTCTCCTTCGATCCATTTTAGCTATCTCTTCTACTGGGCAAATCCCTTCCTCAGGTTTGCTTTCCCCTAGGTGGGAAAATTTGTTCTCTCTACTTCTCAATTTGTTCTTAATTTGTTACCTCATCAGTTTGTTCTTCAAACTCAAGAGGTAACTGAGTCCTTTACTGACTGCCTTTTGCATGTTGTTTCACTTCTATTTTTTGCTTTTGAATAATTTTATTTTTTTTTCTAATTTTGTTACTTTAATTTCCCATAGCACCTTGGCGATGTTGAAAACAAATGCAAGCACAAGGATGTACTCATTTTACCATCTTATGCATGAGCATGTGCCACATCAATTTTGGGGGCGACAGTTTTGACAACAGGAACAAATCTAAGCAATCAACAAAACAGAAGCCAGATAACTGACTCTGACCCCCAGCCCCCAACATTTAGGAGATGTCAAAGGACACCTGAGTTAGGTTAAAAAAATCAGGTTGATATGGGTATTTCAACAGTGTTCTGTGCTGCAAAACTGAAAAACTGAAAATCAAACCATTTAATACACATCCCGTTAATATCTGAGTTAAAGTTTTACTGTCTACTCGAAGATTCATAAAAAGTTACAAGCTTTTAAAAATAAACTTTAAGTTATTTAATAATCAGGTGAATTTTTTAAAGAGAATTTACTCACAACTTTAAAATAAATTATCTTTCAATTTCTTAAAATATCCTCATTCATCTAATGAAAAGTGAAACACGTATGTAGCTTTTTGGAAGCTCTGATTAGCATATGCCCAAAAGCCTAAAGTTAAGTTAATGGCCACCAAAAAAAAAAAGAAAAAAAAAAAAGATTTTTCTTTCAGGTTATTTTTGATAGTTTATAGCTTCAACTCCTCAGCTCCCTAGGTATATTGTATTTTCACAAATTTTGGATCCATTTAAATATCAGCCTTAAAATTTAACTCTCCTTCAAATTCATGCCATAAATTTCAAGAAAATTATCTTTCTCTTACTGTGAAATTAAAAGTTCCCATTCCTATACAAAGCTAATGCTTCTATTTTTGCTCTGAAGCCAACCACATTTGCCTCATTAAGAAGAGCACTTCAGTGCCAATCCTATCTCCTGCTCTGTCTTCAACTTCTTTCTCTCTGTACTGCCTTTCTGTCTAAGCATGGAACCATGCTCAAATTTCCTCCTTTCTATCCCCTGTTGCAAAATTATTACATTTATTTTCCCTTTCTAACCAAACATTTTGTATGTATTTCAAGTTGAATTACCCATGTTAAAGTCATTACTCAATTTATTATTATTTACTTTCTGCCCCATCACTCCAGTTAAACTATTTTTACAGTGATTCCTAAGAATCTCATTTAATTAGGAAAACTGGTAGCACCTATGCTCTAGATAGTTTTTTTTCTTTTTAAATCAGACCACTAATTTTTATATAATCATCACTATTGTACTTTAGGTTGGCATCTCTGGCCAGTATTATTGCAAAAACATTTCCATTTATCTACCTACCATACCATCCATTTCCATACTGTGGTTAGAGCATTCTTTTCAAAGTCTGAACTACTCATCCCTGTACCATCATTCCTCCTTGTTTTCGCTTCCCTGCATTCTATGTTAGAGTTATGCTGTCCTTTTGATTTTTACTTCCTAGAACAAGACTCTCTTGCTGGATGCATGGTTGTTGCCTCTCTGAAAATATTATTCTCTAATTACCTTACCTCCTATTTACTAACTCTTCATACAAATATTTCAAGTCTCAGCATAAACTTTATTTTCTCCATAATCTTTGTGACCACACCCCACCAACACTCCCATGTAACCTATATATACATTGTTATTTCCCTTCTAAAGTACTTAGAGACTCTTGGAATTGTTCAATTATTTTTCTGTGTCTTATAGGGGAGTTTCCATAACTATTCTCTAGACCTAGTAGCTAACAAGGTCTCTACTACTTAGTAGATGCTCATAAATATGCATTGAACGAACCAATGATTGTATGCATAACAAATAATGTCATACAAAATGCCACTGCAGTTCATTAGAAGATAAAATAATTGTGGTTTCAGCTTATAAGGAATCTCTAGTTAGTTAAATCTCTAAAATGCTGTGTCATTTCCTTCCTCATGCCTTTATTGAAATTTTGCATTGTTTTGTTTCTAAGAGGACCTAGGAATTTAATTCATTATTTCTCTTGTGTAAATGTCATCAAGTATTTCTCTGCTTTAATTACAAGCCAGCTGCAAAGCATGACCATATTCAAATATTTTAAATCTGCTATATCTGAACAATCCTCCAAACTTTTTGAACACATATGTGTAATAGTAGTGGTAATAGATAATTTTAGAAAGCAGAAAAGAATGAGAAACTCCCTTAAAACTACCAAAATTTTTAGTAAAAATTTTTAAGTCTATGTTTGATATATCACATTCAGCCCCATTTTCCATCTAGGTGTTTTGTTATCTTGGAAAATAGATTCAATTTTGAATAATCAACACAATTCAGAAAGGATTTTAATGGACAAAGATGTAATTTGGTCTACTGTACACTAATTTTTGGCTTCTCCAGCTTATGATTCTTTTCTGAGGCTGAACCTCTCTATAATCAATTTGTTAGACTAAACTACTCAGACTTCAGTCCAGAGAAGATTCTGATCCCTGAGATGTTTTGCTACATATCAGAACCTAGTTGTTTAATTTTCTCTTTCAGCACAGACTCATGAGATACATCTTTGACTCTTGACACAAATAACCAAGGCACCAACCCTAGTCTCAAAAGCTTCTGTGACCCATGCAATGTGTATTACAAAAAAGGAATGTAATAATATAGAGAATATTAGAACATCGTAATGGGGTTCAGAGGATAGGCACCTCAGTTTGAGGTGAGAGAGGGAGGATTCGAGAAGTGTTTCTAAGTGGAGTAGAGTAAATGATTAGGCATTATCTACGTCAGAAATAAGGGAAACAGGCCGGGCGCCGTGGCTCACGCTTGTAATCCCAGCACTTTGGGAGGCCGAGGCGGGCGGATCACGAGGTCAGGAGATTGAGACCATCCTGGCTAACACGGTGAAACCCCGTCTCTACTAAAAATACAAAAAAAATTAGCCGGGCGTGGTGGCGGGCGCCTGTAGTCCCAGCTAGTCGGGAGGCTGAGGCAGGAGAATGGCGTGAACCCGGGAGGCGGAGCTTGCAGTGAGCCGAGATTGCGCCACTGCACTCCCGCCTGGGCCACAGAGCGAGACTCCGTCTCAAAAAAAAAAAAAGAAAGAAAGAAATAAGGGGAACAGGGCTTGAAGCTAAGAGAAATCCGTAGACGATAAAAGAAAAGAGGAATATCTAACACCGTTGTTTAACCTTAGGTGTTGGAATAACCACATTCTAAAATGGACATGAGAGGCCGGGCGTGGGGGGCTCATGCCTGTAATTCCAGAATTTTGGGATTCTGAGGCAGGCGGATCACTTGAGACCAGGAGTTCAAGATCAGCCTGGCCAATGTTGTGAAAGCCCATCTCTAAAAATACAAAAAAGTTAGCTGGGCGTTGTGGTGCACACCTGTAATCCCAGCTACTCAGGAGGCTGAGGTACAAGAGTCACTTGAGCCTGGGAGGAGGAGGCTGAAGTGAGCCGAGATCCTGCTACTGCACCGCAGCCCTGGTGACAGCTGTCTCAAAAACAAAAAATATATAAAATGGACAGGAGACCATAGTAGGAAGATTATACACTGTATGCACATAGCAAAATATCATATGTACCCCATAAGTATGTACAATTCTTACCTATCAATAAAAAAGAACCAAAGAATAATAGTTTTTAACTTAGTATCTCAAAAAAAAAAAAAAAAAGAAAAAAAAAGAAGAAGAAGAAAGAAACAATACTGAAAACACAGGCAGAGACCAACGGCTTAAAGTTTTACTGTATCAAAATATGAAAATAAGTTTGTACTTTGTTTGAAAGCTGCTTGAGGAAATTTAAAGATGACTAAATTAGAGATGCATATTTATTTCGAAATATTTGTTCTTCTAAAAACGTTTAGCAATAAACACACAATACAGTACACTAAAACAGGAAAAATGACAAAGCCATGAAGTTGTGAGCAAAACGAGATACTGCAAGGTGTCTCAGTGTAATTCCTGTTTTTCCCTTTTTTTCTTTTTTCATTTTATCTCATATTCCTTAGTGCATAAAACATTGTGTGCTCTTCCTTGTGGGATATCAGAGTTTAAGGCCATGTAAACTTTGATGCAATGCAATAAGGTAGAGCTCCACCATGATATTTTCAGATCAATAAAACCTAACAGAGATTATGTTTATCACACTTTAAAGAACACATTTTTTTGACCTTAAAGATCAGCATCGTCAGAGTCACTGTATTTCAAAGCACAGAGCAGGATATTTAATGCCTCCAGTCACTCCAGAGTTGTATTTAACTCAGAACCAGGCTTGAAGTGGTAAGAGATAAGCATTGTAAATAGTAATGCATTCTTTGGATCCTAATAGCCTCCTGAATTGACTGCTTTATTCATGAGAGAGGAAATAAGTTTCTTCATTGGTTGAGAAATCTATTTGTTTCTTTGTATGCTTAAGGTATTTTGGATATTCAAATATGAGATCATATTTTATAAGGCTTTTTCCCTTATCACAGTGATACAAGAAAATAGAACAAAAATAAACAAAATAAAACAGGGAGGGAGACATGACTAGAACTTAATCGCAGCAAAGCCTTGATCACTTATTCATATCTAAACCTAATTGTTGTCTGATCTGCAAATAAACTAAAAAGGAATTGCATTGGCTGTACTGAAAATAAGCAACTAATGGGAAACAGATAATAACATTTTTGTAAAGAGGAAGTTGGACATCAATTGAATTCGATCAAGAAGAGCAAATGCGTGATATTAAACACATATACTGAGAACAACAAATTTGGAATGAAAGTTCTACTTTGCTTAAAAAATTAGTCATTAGTATTGAATAGACTAATGACTATTCAATGTTTTGAAAAGCAAAACATTTTCACACATTAGGTACCCAAATAATATTTAGTAAGCAAAGTAAAATTTATAGTGATTTTTCAAAACAAATACTTCATAAAAATACTGTTTAACTACAAAAATGAATGTGAATTGTGAATCAATTAAAAACCTTTATTCAGATATCACATAATATAATCTTCAATGTCTTCAATTCAGATTTTGTCTGCCATAATGAAATCCGGATTTTAATATATAAAAAGAATATGGCTTCTAACTACACATAATTATATTAGGTGTATCACTCTTTACTTGATTCAGTAGTTTTGGAGTGCTTGTTAACTTTTCAGATTAGGTTTGTTCTATCAATTATATTTAACAAGGAAGTTTTTATCCTTCCCTTGTAAATTGTTTAAATTAGCTCTAATACTCATTGTTTTGTTCTATAATATTAAAGACGTATATAATAGCTAATGGCACCCAAAGACTTTTCCATGATGTGTTCAATGAGAGGTAAAGGATAAGCTAAAGATTCTTTCCATACTTGATTTCATTGTTATGAAAAGTTTTTATATAGACAAGTTAATTAAAAGGTAAACGCAAACCCTCAGACATAAAAGAAAACTTCTTTTCCACGGGCTTTCATCTCACTCCATTGTTCTTGGAAGTTCTTAAAATTATCATTATTCACAAAACTATTTCTTACAAATTACTATAATGTATTACATGAATGGTGAGCAAAAATGGGGGTCTTATATTCTTTATCTTAAAATTAATAAAACTCTTAACTGGATTTTTAAAAGTTTAGCTATGCTTTTTGTTTTTTGCCTTTTTCCTTAGACTTTATTCTAAAGTCTCAAAGGACTTCTCAAATGAATGAATTTACGTGAAAGCAAAATTTTTAAAATCATTGTGTTTTGTGGGCCAAGTGTAGCAAGTGTTTGAAAGGCATGTATAGGACAGTACTTAAATGTTTTGCTAATTCGAGTTGCCTCAGACAAAATTCTTCAATCTTCTGTTCTAGCCTAGGATCTCAATTTGCCAAGTTATTAATTAGCAGCAGCATAGCGATTTGAAAGATAAACATATTTTCTTGTCTTAGATTCTGTATTTTGGGTCCTTTGATCTATCCTGGGCTTAAACACCCCTTCTAACACACACACACACACACACACACACACACGCACGCGCGCACGTACTACCATCACCAAATCAGATGACATTTCTGCTGTGTTCATTCACTTATGGGAGGGATGTAAAAGCAGTGGGCAGAAAAACCCAAAAACAGCTTAAATTTTTCATAAGGATTCATAACACTGAAAATAATTTTGAAAAAAGATTAATAGATGAACAGTGTCTTATTCTTGAGACCCGAAAAATAAAAAAAAATAGAAACTATTTTTCTGGGGTGAATGTAATTGGGGATAGAAAAATAAGAAGGAAAGCAAATTAACATGTATTGACGGCTTCCTGGGAACAGGGGTTTAAAAAAATAAATAAATAAACTTGCTCTGAACCCTAAGAAAGTTTTCTGAAGTTGTTAAACCCTAGAAAGAAGATAGCAACATCAAGAAATAGCCATGTACATTAAGAAATGTCAGGGCAGAGCAGTGTTATTTCATGCTTCCCAGATCCAACTGCAAGAAATAGGAAAGAGAAAAAAGTGGAAGACTATATCTCCAAAAATGACAGACCTGCTTAAGAGTGGAATGAATATGATGCTCCTATTATTGATATGAATGTAGGGGAGAAAGAATGCAGATCTAAAATAGATTGCAGAGGGAAACTCACTGGCAACTTGTGTGGCACTGATAGTTGAGGACAACACCAGCTAATGGGAATGAGAATTGGCAGCATAGACAGATGATAAAGAAGGCAAAATAATCTCTCTTCTCTCAATCCATGCACCATAATTAAAATAGGAGATAATAGAAAGGGATCACATTTAATTTATTTTCCTTTGGTGAAATAAAGACATAACAGAAATTAAATTGAGTTAAATAAGTATAAAAGAAGTTATGTCTATGCACATCCAAATTTGTGGATTGAGTCTTACCTCAATTCACATTTTGCCACAGCATTGCTCTTGGCATTTCAGTAACATGCCACCCTCTCTTTATATCATTTCCTTCTCAGACACATTGTGACCTGCTTCTCTCATCCAATGTTACAACTTCCCTGGCATATATCTTAATTCTTTCTGGCCACCACTGGGTATAACAAATCAAATGGACGTGCTCATGACATCTCTTTTGGAACAATTCGGAAAATTTAGCCAATCTTATTAAAATGTCAGTGGAATAAAATAATAACATGAACTCAGAACTATTATTCATGTCACTGTGTGATTGTTTCCAGAAACACATACACACACAGGCATACACAAAAATGAAATTATATGGATATTTATGAAGGTTAAGGAAATTTAGTTTTTTTAGATGATATATTACATGATCGGAAAGAATGAGCTATTCTTTATATATCTCTCTTACTGATGTTTATAGCCCATATCTGCTTCTCAGACTCATCAGCTTCTGTGATTCTTTTATTGCCTCTAAGCTCCTAGCATATGGGCCTTCTATTTATTTTTACTTCAGATATGTCCACTTCATTCCTGCTGTGGTACCTTTGCACTATTTATTCTTCCTGGCTGCATATCTTCAAATTAATGTTTTCTTTTTTGTCATTTAAATCTCAGCTTATATATCACTTATTTTGTAATTGCTCATCATTCTGCCATAATCCTCCATCAAAATTCTCTGTGCAATACCTATCAATGCCATCTAATTCCCCAAATTCTGGACTATTGTTTTATAAACTTTCAAGTAAATAACATATAATAAGTTGTACTTATTTGTTATGTAGTTATTTACAGAATATGAGGTCCACAATGATGGAAATTTTCTCAGCTTTATTCAATGATATATCCTAAGCAGAATAAGTGCTAAATAAATATTTCTTGAATATGACTAAAATAGTTGATAATTTTCTTATAACACTTTTTATTAGGTTATTACATGCCCAACACTCGTAAGTTGAGGATTAGTTCTATGAAAAATGTTGTTTTTCTCTTCATTCTTCACAAAATTCACTGTAATGTTCAAACAGTACTTGGCAAACATAAAAGTACTCAGATATATTTAATTATGTGATTCGTTTGCCATGGAAGACAAATGAATCATATAATTATTTTTAAAGTCTACTTTCAGAATTTATACTTTTCTGGCCTCACATAAACATTAAAAACCTTAAATTAATCACTACATATCTGATAGGTCTTAGTACATTGGAATAAGTCCTTCACAACTTTATCAGTAGATCATAACTAAAGTAATTTGAAAAGTAATGCAAAAAGCTGGAAAACTCTGATAATACTTAAAGTTTGCAGGTGTTTATGGAAATGGTCCCTCTTATATATTGCTGTGAAAATCTAACTTGTGCCAGTATTTATGAAGTGTGTTTGGTATTTTTTTAATGTGCACATGAAAAATTAAAATATACTAATCTAGAAAATACACTTTTAAGAATTTATCCTATTGCTATAAGTAGATTGATATATCAAATTTCTTTTTTAAATCATGTTTCCAAACATGATTTTATTATAGGGTTTTTTATGTAGGAAAAGAGAAAAAATAGAAGCATTCTGAATGTTCTAAAATAAATCAATGATGGTGTATAAATATAATAAAAAAATGTGCAGGCACAAACATAAAAAAGATAAATCTATATTTTCTAATATGGTCATATTTAGATGTTTATAGCACTCATATGAAAAAACTCAATTAAAAATAATATAGCATGATTGATTTTTTAATATATTTTGCATATATCATAGATATGTAAACTAAATATCTAATTCAATTTTTATCTATTATTTATCTACTTTTCCAAAATTAAAATGCACTAGTAATTATAACTGGAATTGCATTTATTTTCATTTTCTTCCTTTAAAGTATTAATGCATAGATTTTTTATGTCATATTTGTATTCAATATGGTTTAGATATCAACTTATCCCAAACTAATTTATACATTTAATACAATTCAAATTAGAATGTAGCATGTGTTTGGCAGAAATTGTACAATTTATTCTAGAATTTGTACAGAAATGCAAGGATCACTTAATTTCAAAAACAATCTAGACAAAGAACCATAACAAAATAAATATGAATGGGTTTTAAAATAGTATAATCAAGACAATGTGTTACTAGAGTAAGAATGAATATATATAAAAGCAAAATAATTTTTTTAAGTCGAAAAGTACATCTCACATATATGTTTGTATTGTCTGTTTTCACTCTGCTATAAGGAACTTCCTGAGACTGGGTAATTTATAAAGAAAAGAGATGTAATTGACTCACAGTTCAGCATGGATGGGGAAGCCTCAGGAAACTTACAATCATGGTGGAAGGCAAAGGAGAAACAAGGCACCTTCTTCACAAGGCAACATGAAGAAAAAGTGCCAAGCAAAAAGGAAAGAGTCCCTTATGAAACTATCAGATCTTGTGAGAACTCACTATTTATCACAAGAAGAGCATGGGGTGATTCAATTACCTCCATCGTTCAATTAACTCCACCTGGTCTCTCCCCTGACAGGTGGAGATTATAAGGATTATGGGGATTATAATCCATCATTCTGCCCCAGTCTCTCCTGAATCTCATGTTCCTTTCACATTTCAAAACCAATCATGCCTTCCCAACAGTCTGCCAAAGTCTTAAATTATTCCAGCATTGACCAAAAAGTCCAAGTCCCAAGTTTCATCTGAGACAAGTCAAGTCCATTCTGCCTATGAGCCTGTAAAATCAAAAGCAAGTTAGTTACTTCCTAGATACAGTGGGGGTGCAGGCATTGGGTAAATACACCCATTCCAAATGGGAGAAATTGGCCAAAACAAAGGGGCTACAGGCCTTATGCAAATCCAAAATCCTGTGGGACCGTCAAATCTTAAAGCTCTGAAGTAATCACCTTTGATTCAATGTCTCACATTCAGGTCACGCTTCCTGATGCAAGAAATGGCTTCCCATGGCCTTGGGAAGCTCTGTCCCTGTGGCTTTGCAGGGTACATTCCCCTTCTTGGCTGATTTCATGGGCTGGCATTGAGTGTCTGCCACATTTCCAGCAGCATGGTGCAAACTGCCAGTGGATCTACCATTCTGGGATCTGTAGGATGGTGGTCCTCTTCTCACACTTCACTAGGCAGTGCCCCAGTGGGGACTATGTGTGGGGCCTCTGACCCCACATTTCCTTTCTGCACTTCCCTAGCAGAGGTTCTCCATAAGGACATAAGGACTCCACCCCTGCTGCAAACTTCTGCCTGGACATGCAAGCATTTCCATACATCCTCTGAAATCTAGACAGAGGTTCCCAAACCTCACTCTTGACTTCTGTGCACCTGTAGGCCCAATACCATGTGTAAGCTGTCAAGGCTTAGGGCTTGAATCTTCTGAAACAATGGCTTGAGCTGTATGTTGACCCCTTTTAGCCACAACTAGAATGCAGGGCACCGAGTCCCAAGACTACACAAAGTAGCAAGGCCCTGGGCCTGGACCAGGAAACTATTTTTTCCTCCTAGGCCTCTGGGCCTGTGATGGGAGGGGCTGCCATGAAGACCTCTGACATGTCTTGGAGATATTTTCCCCATTATCTTTGCAATTAACATTTGACAACTAATTACATATGCAAATTTCTGCATCCAGCTTGAATTTCTCCTCAGAAAATGGGTTTTTCTTTTCTATCACATTGTCAGGCTGCAAATTTTCCAAACTTTTATGCTCTGCTTACCCTTTAAACTTAAGTTCCAATTCCAAACCATTTCTGTGTGAATGCGTAAAACTGAATGTTTTTAAGAAAGCCAAGTCATTCTTGAACACTTTGCTGCTTAGAAATTTCTTCTGCCAGATACTCTACATCATCTCTCTCAAGTTCAAAGTTCCATAGATCTCCAGGGCAGGGACAAAGTGCCACCAGTCTCTTTTCAGAAGCATAGCAAGAACCACTTTTATTCCAGTTCCCAACAAGTTCTTTATATTCACCTGAAACCACCTTAGCCTGGATTACATTGTTCATATCACTATCAGCATTTTGGTCAAAGCCATTCAGCAAGTCTCTGGGAAGTTCCAAACTTTCCCACATCTTCCTGTCTTCTTCTGAGCCCTCCAAACTGTTCCATCCTCTGCCTGTTACTTAGTTCCAAAGTTGCTTCCACATTTTTGGATATCTTTATATCAGCACCTCACTTCTGGTACCAATTTACTGTATTAGTCTGTTTTACACTGCTATAAAGAACTGCCTGGGACTGGGTAATTTATAAAGCAAAGAGGTTTAATTTACTCACAGTTCTGCCTAGCTGGGGAGGCTTCAGAAAACTTACAATCATGGCAGAAAGTGAAGGGGAAGCAAGGCAACTTCTTCACAAAGTGGCAGGAAGGAGAAGTGACGAGCAAAGCGGGAAGAGCCCCTTGTAAAACTATCAGATCTTGTGAGAACTTACTCACCAACAGGAGAACAACATGGGGAACCACCCCTATGATTCAATTACCTCCACCTGGTCTCCCCCTTGACAAGTGGGAATTATGGAGATTATGTTGATATAATTCAAGAAGAGATCTGTGTGGAGACACAAAGCCTAACCATATCAATGTTCGAATGATTTTGGCCAAGACTCCAAGAATATTAAGTGTAGTAGAGGACAGTGTTTCTCACAAATGATGCTAAAATCTTTTATATTTTTATGGGGGAGGGAAATGGACTTGAGCATAACCTGCCATATGAAAACTTAACTGGGGAAATGGATCATGGCATATTCAAACATAAAAGTGAAACTAAGACATTTGTTAAAGGACTATGAGAATATCTACATAACATTGAAGGAAGAGAAAGATCAGAAGAAGCATGAACAATAAGAATATTCATTTTGCCAAATCGAAAACTTTTTGTTCTTAAAGAGAAACAAGGGGAAAAAGACTCTTCAGACTTTGGATAACATATTGAAAACAGATGTTTCTGACTTGTATAAAAATAAATTAAAACTCTTATAACTTAATAGTAATAGGACAACAACCAAATAAAATGGTCAAAAGTTTTGAACAATTTACATAATTAAATAAATTTCCAATGAACATGTAAAATAAGCTCAAAAATTATTCTTCTGAAAAATACAAATTAAAATTAGCATAACACATAGCTATATATACACTATGATATCTAACAGTAAAAACATTGAGATAACCAAGCAGTGGTGTGGATTTGGATAACCAGAACACTCATGTAGCTTTGGTAGGAGAGGGAGTTTAAGATAGTGAAATTATTTCGGAAAACGTTTGAACTCATTTACATTACTTATAAAGTTATGCAAATAGCTACCTATACAACCCAGAGCTTTCAATTCTAGATATTTATCCGTGAGAAATATAAATGTATGCCTACCCAAATACTTACATTGTCATGTACTGCATAACATGATTTCGGTCAATGACTAACTGCATATACCACAGTGTCTCCATGAGATTACAATGGAAATTAATAATTCCTACTGTCCAATGGCTATTAAAGTTATAGTGCCAAGCATTAGTCACCTGTTTGTGGTGATATTGGCACAAACAAATCTAGTGTACTGCCAGTATTATAAAAGTATAGAACATACAATTATATAGAGTACATAATACTTAGTAATGATAATAACCAACTATGTTACTGGTTGATGTATTTACTATACTACACTTCTTGTCATTATCTCAGTGTATTACTTGTACATATATATGTGTGTGTGTGTGTGTGTGTGTGTGTGTGTGTGTGTGTGCGCGCTCGCAAATTAACTCTAGAACAGTCCCAGGTAGACCCTTCAGGTAGTATTCCAGAAGGCATTGTTATCATAAAAGATGACTTTTTCATGTTCATTATTGCCAATCTTCCAGTGGGACAAGATGTGGAGGCAAACAACAGCGATATTGATGATCCTGAAGCTACATAGGTCTAGGCTAATGTGTTTGTGTCATAGTTTTTAACAAAAAAATTTAAATATAAAAAATTAATAATTTTGTAATAGAAAAGAGCTTATACAATAATGATATAAAGAAAGAAAATATTTTTTGTGCAGCTATACAATGTGTTTGTGTTTTAAATAAGTGTTATTATGAAAGAGTCAAAAAGTTTAAAAAGTTTATAAAGTAAAAAGTTATAGTAAACTAAGGTTAATTTATTATTGGAGAAAGAAAATTTTAAAAATAAATTTAGTGTAGTCTAAGTGTACAGTGTTCATAAAGTCTTCAGTAGTAGGCAGTAATGTCCTAGGCTTCACATTCACTCACCACTCACTCACTAACTCACCCGGAGCAACTTCCAGTGCTGCAAGTTCCATTTATGGTAAGTGTCCTATAGAGGTCTACCATTTTTTAATATTTTAAATTATATGTTTACTGTGCCTTTTCTATGTTTAGATATATTTAGATATACAAATACCATTATGTTACAGTTGCCTATAGTGTTGAGTACAGTAACATGCTGTACAGGTTTGTAGCCTGAGAGAAATAAGCTCTCCTGTATATCCCAGGTATAGGGAGGCTACACCCTCTAGTTTGGTGTAAATACATTCTGATGTTCACAACCAGGAAATTGCCTGACTCATTTCTCAGAAGGTATTCCCATTGTTAAGTGATACATGATTCTATGTGAAGATTCATAGCAGAATAGATTTCCATTTTAAAAAGCCATGATTTAAGTAGACAGGCATCTACCATGACTACTTAATGATTATATAGGTATAAATAAAATAGCTATCGTTGTCAATATACAGAGAATTAACATTTTGACATTAATATTTTATGGTTTTTTTTGTGATGTCCTGGTAACCGTAAAAGGCTATTTACTTAAGAAAATATATGGCCTTTCATAGACTATAAAGTTTTAAAAGGCTCCTAAGCATAATCCATGCTCATTCTTACTGATATTTATTTATCAGAGATGCTACTATCAATGAGTTCTTGGGTTACATAAAATGCAAACTAACAACTCTCATGCCGAGTTGATTTGAACACTTACTTAGTCACCTACTTCTTATGCTATCTTTAAAATAATTCCTTCACTTTTTGTGACTCAGTCAGCTGTAAAATGAGGATTATAATATTTTTCTCATAGAATAATTGTAAATCTTTGTAAATGGCTTAGTAGGGGACCTGGCATATAGTAAATGTTCCCAAAATTTTTATTTTGGGTTATTTTTATTTTAAAACTGGGACTTCAGAGAAAGTCAATCAATAATCCCAACCCCCACCCCCACTCCCCCCTGCAAATCAGGCTTCACACATTGAGAAGTGTATGGAGAAGATTGTGGATGTGGTTAAGAAACAAAGATTCAGTGAGCAGAGTTTTGTTTTGATGGCTTTGTCTTTAGGACTTGCTTTTTTGGAGCTCTTGTCTCATGATTAAGAAAATAAATGCTAGAGCCAATTGCCTGAGTGTGTTTCCTCTGTTTACTCACACTACTTAATTATGGTTATAACAAGGGAGTAAAGTCATGTGCATTTATGAATTCTTGATCAATCGTTAAAGAAAACTTCCCATTTTGTATATCACATGGGTTTCCATAGCCAAAGCATCACACTATCCTAAGAGCAGGGGTGCTGACAAAGTGTGCCTTTCTTTTGCAAAACTGAAGAGCTGTTGGTAACTCAGACATGTTCTCAGGCAAATCATGTTTTTAAAGAATATATGTGGAGGTTTAAAGGGCTGAAAATTATTTTCCTTAAATTCAGCCATGCTTGCATACTCTCCAAATATTCTTCACATACCCAAACATACAAAGCCACTGAGTTAAATCACGGAAAAAGCTGTTTCAATAGAAAGAACTCAAAATGTAGTGAATTGTAAAACTAAGAACTCCTGCCTTCCCATCTGCTATCCCCCACTGATCCTTGCCTGCAATGCTGTAGTGGATTCCTACCCACAATTTCTGCTATCTGGACTGTGGGGTAGGATAGAGAAAGCAGAAAGAAAACTGATGCTCATTAGGATGTGATCCAGAAGTTGTTCACACCCCTGCACTCAGTGATGGAATAGACCTTAGTCAGAAGCCACAGCTAACTGCACAGAGGCTAGGAAAGGTGGCTTCTCACTATTTGGCCAGTTCCCCTTCTTAAACCAAGCTCTTTAACAAAAAAGTGGAATGGTAAAATGGACTGAGAGATAATTAGCAGACTAACACTGAAAATAACTCTCTCAGGCAGAAGTTTTAAAAATGCTTCTTTGAAACATCAACCTAAACATGCCTCAGTGGTAACCAAACTATTTCTGAATCTATGAAAAAATAGGAAAAAAGGGCTATTTAAAAATAAATTTTGTATTTTTGTATGATTCCATTATCTGTGAGAGAAAATATACCTACCAGTAAACTCATTCACTGCCTTTCCTTCCTTGAACAACAAAACGTGAGCACTAGCATGTATAATTCTCTTCTTTTCAGTTTCTCTGAAGGGTGATTACCTGTTCTTTATTTACCTTCTAGGAGATGGAACTGACGTTCACATAAGAAAGTTTATCTGGTATCATGAGACTTCAATTGTTAGAAAGTGCTTTATGTTTTCAAGCTAATATTTTTGGGATGGTTTTGTCTTTGGGGCTTGCTCTTTTAAACTTCTTGTCCTGTGATTAAGAGAATAAACACTAGAGCCACTTACTGCTCATAACTCACTGTTCATCAATATCAAGTTAGCATTTTAATATGTATTTTTGGTTAAAATATTTTATAATTTTTGCCCTAACAAGTAATTCAGAATTTTGTGGGCTTTTTAGAATATACTTCTTTTGAGATAATCCTGAATTGCTAAGGTTTTCTGTACATAGAAAAAAGTAGTTGTTCCATAGTTTTACTTCATGTCTTTAGTGTTTAAAAGGCATTTACTTTCTGTAATTGTTTTCTAGTTGTTGGTATTTACATAATGTAATTTAAATACAAACTTCTGCGTATATGAAACATTTATTATAAAATTAAAATTAAGTATTAATTATTGGGCTGGAAGCGAGTACACAATCTTCTTCCTTAAAAAAATCCACATTAAACATTTTGGGTCACTAGGAGACTATTTGGACAGTGCATATGTGCTTCTAGTTTCTCTACATGATACCCTGGAGAATTAAGCATGGTTTTCAAGTTGCTTAATTTTCAAACACTATGCAGTTTAACCAGTCAATAAGCTCTTATTGTATTTGGAATTCTATGTAAAACTCTTATGTTGGCATAGAATTTCAAAGTTGCTTAACTAATTTAAAAAAGAGCATATTTTCTTTGCAGTCCATCTCTTGAAATGTAAACACTCTTAAAACAACTTAGAAAATAGAATATATGTATCTTTACTACGATAGAAATTAGTGCACACTGCTTAAATTGATGATATTACCATTTATCTATTTTGTCTCATCATCTTTTGTTTTCATTCAGAATTTTTGATGTAAGAAATAAAACCAGGGTTGATTATCCTCTTTAATACTGACTTTACAAACAAATCTAAATGAGAAAAAAGACACCAAAATCTCAATAAAAAAAATTATTCAATTTTTCAAATAATATGCTGTAGCTACCACTAATTTTATTTATAGCAATAATTCAGAAATTTTATTTTTTCTTTTATAAAATATTTATGAGATGTAAAATATCTTCTTTATGCTAAATTCTGTATGATGGATCTCCATTAATGGAGTGAAATGTTGGAAAATTAAATTTATTTCTGTTCATCCAATTTTAAATTTTGAGAGGGTAAGCAAAAATCTTATTTCTTTGAGCTTGGAAATTTTTCAATCAGTTTTTTTTTTATTCTTTCCTTGACAAGACTTATGCTTTGTGCTTTGATGGGTGTGTTGATGTTTTAAAAAAATATATTATTAATAACTATTTAAAACTATATACAAGAATAGTCAAGGCTACAAAACTCTGTTGTTCACTTGGTGACTTTGACAATAATCACCATAGATTTCAGCTTATGAGATAGGTAATATGGAAGTAAAATACTTTAAAACTGTTTCTTACAGAAATGGTTTTCAATATGTCAGTTTATTTCTACAGTACATAGCAGCTCTGTTTTTGGCAGCTTGGGTCTATGACCAGTTAACCCAGCTGTCAAGAGAATTGTGCTAATGAAGCCAAAAAATGGGTTCAAATTCCCAATTGGGTCAATTAACTTTCCTTGACTCAAGGCTACTAATGGCACTCCTGGGGCCAGTCAATTTGAATTTCCACTTATTGGCTGGAATAAAAAAATTGCAAAGTGATCGCACAATTCAAAACTCTTCTATTTATAATAATTTACTTTATCCTCATCACAGCACTAAAATATAGATGACATGCCATCTTACAGAAGAAATAATGATATCTGGGCAAATTTTTTGACTTACTTTAGGGTCAGAGTTCCAGAAGGGAGAATATTAATCCATAACACAGATTTTTTTAAGTGAGCAGGCTTATAGGGAGTTTATAAGTATTGACTAAATTTACATAGTTATAAATCAGTTGAGTCGGGAATTAAATCCAGCAATCAAACCCTGTATCCTGCACTATTAAGTCTAGATCCTGTACTTTTTTATTGTAAAAGTACACTTTCTGGTACACTTTGTAGATTTTTATAAGAGCTGCACACTCTTTTTTTTTTTTTTTTTTTTTTTTGAGACGGAGTCTCGCTCTGTCGCCCAGGCTGGAGTGCAGTGGCGGGATCTCGGCTCACTGCAAGCTCCGCCTCCCGGGTTCACGCCATTCTCCTGCCTCAGCCTCCCAAGTAGCTGGGACTACAGGCGCCCGCCACTACGCCCGGCTAATTTTTTTGTATTTTTAGTAGAGACGGGGTTTCACCGTTTTAGCCGGGAAGAGCTGCACACTCTTATACTGAAGGCATACATATAAACACAAGTTAAACTGTTTTATTTTTACCAAGTTCTATTGCCCTGTGAAACTCAGGAAAATTGTATTGTTGAATTTCACAATGTTTAAATTATTTTTCTCCAAACACTAAGAATTAGACACAAGAGAATTGCCTTCAGGTTCATATTAATTTGTTCCATGTATGAACATGATCAAACACTTATTTTAACTTTTACCTATAGAGTGATCTTTGCACAACCTGCTGGGGTACATTCACTTATGAGTTATACATCTCTAACCCGTGGGACCATGTTAGACTCCATTAAAGTTATCAGTGAATTCCATGCCTGGGGAATGGTGTCTGAGCTCCAAGGATTAATAATTATTTGAAAGTTCACAAAGTGTGGAACTGACAACTCCAACAACTTAACGATTAGAAAACACCAAGATAACCTAAGGGTCCCAGTGTACTATTATTTCCGCTGTATAATGTGAACATTTCTTTGATAGACTACAACAACCGTGGGGGATAGAATCTGTTCATAACATAATTACATGATTATTAGGTTAAAAACATGAAAAGAATAAAACCATACAGCATGTTTTAATTATTTAATGATGATTTAATAGGACAATGTGATTTCAGGCAGAATTATAGAATCAAAAATTAATTTCAGTGTTCCATCTGAATACCTATATCCATGCAACCACCTAGCCAATTCTGAAAAATTAGACAATGAAAAAATAAATAACATCTTCATGGAAGACATTACTTGCTCAAATATTAGCTTTGGCCATAAATCCTTTAAAAATACATTGATAAACTTGCATATGATATATATTTATGCAACTTAAATATTTTTAAATACCAAATACAATTAATTAACTTTATTTTTATTTATTTGTTTAGATGATAGAAATTTTCTGTCAAGCATAGCCAAGACTTAACTCTTGTTTACTGAAAAAAAAAATTTAGCTCTAGTTAAAGTACTAAATGAAGATTACAAGTGTACAACCTATACTTCTGTGTGGGGATACATCTATTTTAAGAAAATATAAATCAAGAAGATCATTAATTTACCCACATATAAAAGAAATTATCTTAGGAAAGCCTCCACACTAAGTTAAATTGAGCTAAATACGACCTCATAAAACTCAGATAATATATTAACTATTTTAGATATAGGCACATATTTATAATTATCCATGAGGTAATTTTAGTAATAACAATGCATAAAATTAACTCTCATCCACAAATGCGGGTGATAAAGCACTGCTAGAAATTTGACTATGAATATTTCAGTATCACTTTCCCTTGCTAATTTTCTCTTCCTTGTATTTGATATAAATGATACATTAACTGTGGAGTCTCTAGTAGATTAGAGTTTCTTATAAAAGACACTTCATTTATCTCGATGATCATACTTTCTTTTCTAATCTATTTGCCCTTGCCTAGATCCTCTCCTGACCCTCACTTTCAATGACAAACTCTATTCCCCAATGCACTTGATGTCATTGTCTTCACTATTTACAGCCCTGACTGAGTAATCTCGCTCTTTGTACTGCTGATGCAAAGTATTACATGTAATGGATATCATAAATTACATCTTAGCATAGACAGATAGAACCAATGCTTTTTGAATTTTCTAGAATAATTACAGAAATTGACATTCGTCTGCCACTGCTGCAGATAAATAGTGCTTCAGCTGTTGTCTCCATAGTCAAATTATTTCTGCCTGCACAAGATCTGACAAGAGGTCCTCAATAAATATACAGTGGGAGGAAAATGTACTGTTATTTGCCGGTGTGTTTGTTTTATATTTTACCAAATAATCAACACTTCTTTATCTTTTTATTCTACATCTCAATCATATAAACAATCATTAACTCCTTAATCAACACAATGATTATTGCCTTTCTTCAGAATGTAGCCCAGCCCTGAATGAATCCTACAATATTTTGCATGACACTGCGCAAAATGATATGAAATTTTATAGCAAACAGAAAAATTCAAGAAATAATGTGGTACACATAAGCATATTCTTATGTGCATGTGCATATACACCAGAACATGTGAATTTCAAAAGCCACTTGTTTTTCTTTAAATTTGTTTCATACATCTAAATAATTACTGAACCTAACACTATGTTTAAGGAAATATCTCAGATATAATTTAGGATATTTGCATATATATTAATAATTTTCAATTGTGAGTTAATTTTATTGCTAATTGTTGAAGACTTTCCAAATTTAGGACCTTAAGTTAAAATTGTATAGCATTTTAATTCATCCTTGAAGGATTTCTGGATAAAGTGACTCAAATTATACATTGCATTTTGTGACCTCAGTAGAGTTCTAAGAGATTATTTTGCTTAATTTTTTCTAATATAAGTAGATAGACTATATACAATATCTCACATTTTATCTAGGAAATCAAACTAAAACTTCAAATTATTTAAGTAGTTTATTTTTTATAGGTCTTATCTTAGAGGAGAAAATTATTAAGGACAGCAAGCACTTACTATGGAGGTCATTTATCAGACTAAATAGGCAAAACGTGTCTACAAAGTGCTTAGAGCTTGTTTTAGTTGGCGTATATATTCAGACACAGATAGTTTAAGAGAAAGATGATACACATTCAATGTAAGCTTCTATTCAGATGTTAAAAGAACAAAAGGTAATTTTTATAATGTTGTTGCTTCAATAAGTAATTTGATCACAGAGAGAGTGAGCAACAGAGAGAGAGATTGCAGAAGTTGGGACAATTCATTTTCATTGGAAAGGAAAGGAAAAAAAGATTACCTGATTCAATAATTTTATTCTTTATCATTGAAAAAGGTGAGTATCAAAAAATCTTACAGAGTAATGCAGCAAATGGCTCACCTGGAATAGGTTTTGGTCCTTCTCAAATAATCCAATTACCCTTCAAGTAACCAACATAGAAAAGATGACCAAGATAATTCCTTGCATGAATTTTTAACAGTCTCAACTATTGGACATACATTCATATGACTTCCTAATGAAAGCTACTCTTAAAAATGACATACATAATTTTCTAATTATAATGAGATCACAAAAATTTAATTTGGAATCATGTTGACATCTGGCCAAAATTTTATCTAAATACTGCTATTTAGTATGGGTCAACTTGGAGGAGAGTGGTAAAACTGAAGATGACAATCACTGCCCACTCACTAAATAGCTAAATAAAACTTTTGTTCTAGGCTTAATATACATAACTGTCACCTGTCCTAGAAGAGAGAATATATCAAATTGTACAAGTCATTTAGCCAATGCATGAATTAGGTTATTAGTATGATATGCTTAGGAAATAGGCACTAGGCGGGTAGGACTTTGTGTAATCCTGTCACTGCCACTAATTAGCATGAGGCTTTAAGGAAGATACTTAATCTTTCTGAGAATCAGTTTCTTAATCTTTCTTTAAAACCTTCACTAATTTATTACAAAAATTAATTAGATTATGTATATAATGCCCCCAGCATACTACTTAAAATATGTTAAGAACTCAATAAATGGTAGAAATTATTATTGTTTTTGTTATAGTACACTTTTATTATTTCTTTTTCATGGCTGTACTTTTTCTAAATCATTGGTACTTAAAATTCCTAGGAGGGTTCGTGGTAATTGTTAACAATATAATAAAATCTGTGGATTCTATTACAAAGTAGTATTCAATGCACATACATATACCAAAACACAAATTTGACAAAATTTTAGATAGTATTTAGATCTGTGAATCTCTGATGCCATAGCTAAAAAATTCTATTAACATTAGGCTGAGAACCCCTTATCCCAGAACACATTTTGACTGTAGAAAAGAAGGTAATTAGAATATAAAAGCTTTAAATTTATATCCTGAGAAAAGAGTGGAGGACTGCTAATTTAAGATATCAAAAGACTACTGATAACTCTGAGGAAAGAAAATCATAGTAGAAAAGATCATAGGATTAGGAATCAAGTGAGCACAGGCTCATTGTGAATGCTAGGATGTGATTTTAATATGAATATATATATAAATGGCACCTAGAAATCTAATGTTGGTCAGTGGATCCTGGAACAACCAAATGATATACCTGATGAAGCATTTATTCCCATATCCTGAGGAAAATATATATGCATATCAATAACAGAAGTGATGGGGGGGAGAAGACACTCCTCTGTAATTTTTCTAGGGTTTGGCCGCAAATGTTAAAAGAGCATTCTAGTGAGGTAGGCTGGGCTAGAGTCCTTTACCCATCACTTCCTTCCATGGGGAATGTGTTGCAAGCTTTTATGGCTGCAAGCTGTTTGCTCCAACCACAAATATCCAACACCTAGGATCATGAATCTTCCCACTGTAGTTCTAGAAAACACATAATCAAAGATGAGCAAGTTGTCAAGAAAATACAAGAAAGAGAAAGTAAGTGAAAGTATTTCTTTCTTAATTCCCAGAGCCCGCTGTCCCAGGAAAACAGATCCATGGACTTCTTAAGTCAGAAATGAATCTCAGATGTCAATATTTATGTACTTAGGATGCTATTTTCTTTTGTTTCATTTTGTTTGTTAGCATTTTCATGATATATTAGAGATGTGGAGATTAAGCATTGGTTTGTATTTTCTTGATTTAGCTGGTAGAGAAAAACAACCACATTGGATCTATATGTGCTGATCTTTTCAACCCCTTTGGAATTCTTATCCTTAACAAATTTGACCTTATCTGGGTCCTCAATTTGTAGAGCTTCACTCATTTCTAGTTGTAAATCACCTTACCCTTGGATCTGACCGAATTTTTTAGCTAAATGAGGAAAGTTAGGGGATAATAAGAAAAGAGGCTTAAAACTGCCCTTAAAAGTACTTTAGTTCATCTACTTCTTAGTGACAAGGGCTTAAACAAATATTTTAGCTTCATCCATTATAAACTGAAGAATCTACTACATGCACTATGTTATTGAGAAGTGACAAAATTAATAAAATCTGACAGAAGGTCAAGCTCTAATAACTTTTTAACTTTAATTTGATTTTTTAAAATTTTTTCTTAGTGTGATCCTTTCTATATGTTTCAAATATGAGAACAGATTCTAGAGTGGTGGCCAGCAAGTACCATTACTTACATTTTTAAAGCACAGATACAAAGACTTCATGAGTGATGAGGATTGACTGTATATATCCTTACAGATATAGGAATAAAGGTATAAATATAAAAGTAGGTATAGATGTGTGTGTATGCGTGTGTAGAAAGAAATTCCAGTTTTGTTAATCACTTACAAGATTTTTGTGAAACTTCAAAATTAATACTTAGAGCATTCTCAAGGTCATTTAGGGAATGTGTACATTTAGTCACATTTCCAAAAGCATGTTCCTAACTGAGCTCGATTTAGGCGAAATTTTGCCTTACTGTTTCACCTGTCATACAGAGATGATCAGAGAAGGGAGACAGTAGAAAGTAGTAGATACAAAGTAAGAAGCCCTGGTTCTGGGACCAGTTGGATGGGATTTGAATCCCAACTCTAGTACCCAGTGGTGCAGCCTTGGGCAAGTCATTCAGTACTTCTGAATCTCTTTCTCTCTTTTGCAAAATAAAGAAAACAGAATCTGCCAGATGAGTTGATTTTAGGATTTAAATTTATCATTTATGTTAGGCATACATATGTATATGTGTATATACACATGTATATATGCATATGAGAACATAAATGTGTATATACACACATATATGTATATATTATCAACAATACATAAATTTTTATATATTTGGTAGAAACGTGCACTTGCAAGATCCCTATTATGTGTTACTGATGCAGGATTTTTGCTTCTTTAGCTCAACTAGATCCGGGTTCTTGTCCCACAACCAGGAAAAATTGGGCGTGCAGACACCAGAGAGTGAGTAGAGTAGAATTTAGTAAGCAGAAGGAAAGCTCTCAGCAAGGAGAGGTCCTGAAAGCAGGTTTCTGCTTGCCCCTTTCACAGTTCAGTACAAGAGCTTTTATATATAAGCTGATGGGGCTAGGTTCCCTATTCATATAAGACACAATTTCCTGGTGGCTTCACCCTATTCCCCCAGTATGCCTACAGGTCCTTAGTCCACTGCAGACAGATTTAGGCAAGCCCCCTGTGCAAGTCCCATTACCTGCACAAAACATCTGTTGTAAAGCACTTGTGGGGTGGGTCTGAGGTTCTCCAGGGGCCCTTCCCTTACTGTCTTCCTAAAGCAAGCTGACTAACTCTTTTCACTACAAAATATACATGAAGTTTTTATTATTTTGACAATTTATGGGATATGAATTGTTATACTTATTCGTTGGAAGAAGACTCAGTCTCACAGACATTGAATATTATGACCAAAAAGTCCTCCAATTAGTAAAGGGGAAGAGTTTCTATTTACCAAACTGCAAAGCTCATAATATTTTCTATAAACTTTTGAACTTGCCCAATTCAGCATTCCTAAATTATAAACACATAAAAGTCTCTCCGGTTCTATGGGTATGCACGAGAATGTATATGTGGGTGTATTTCATTAGTGTTTTAAGTTACAATTCTGTAATGCCATATGATGTTGAGTATCTTTTCACATGCTTTTTTGCCATCTGTACATCTTCTTTGGTGAGGTGTCTGTTCAGGTCTTTTGCCTACATTTAATAAGTTTGCTAGTTTTTTATTGTTAAAATTTAAGATTTCTTTGTATATTTTGGGCAAAAGTACTTTATCAGATGTATACTTTGAAAATATTTTCTCCCATTCTGTGGCATGAGTCTATGCTGAAGGATGTTATTAGTAGATAGGGTTTGAAGCCATAGATGAGAAAAGAGGTATATGATGGAATCTAGTCCAGTAGAGGGTGAGTGGGGCAGATCTAGCTCCAAATGTGAGTAGGGAAATGAAAAAACAGAAGCAATGCAAAAGGAGAAGCTTTGAAAATGAGTTGGACTGGAAGAGAAAGAGAAACTGAATTTTTAAAATGCATTTCTTGAAACCTGAATGTCTTTTAAGTATATGAAAAATTACACAGTACAAAAATAAGATCTAATCATATTAAATAGCTTGCTCAACTAGTATACCTTAGATCAGAACCATAGGTTTTTCTTGTACTAGATGATAATGGCTCTAATATAAGTCACTATGAATATATGTGTATGAACACATATACACAAATACAAAACATGTATATAAGCATATATGTACATATATTCGTTCTCCAACTTTTTTTTTTGAGACAGAATCTCACTCTGTCCCCCAGGCTGTTGTGCAGTGGCACAATCTCAGCTCACTGCAACCTCCACCTCCTGGGATCCAGCGATTCTTCTGCCTCAGCCTCCTGAGTAGCTGGGAGTACAGCTGCGTGCCACCACGCCAAGTTAATTTTTGTATTTTTAATAGAGACGGGGTTTCACCATATTGGCCAGGCTGGTCTCAAACTCCTGACCTCGTGCTGCCCGCCTCGGCCTCCCGACGTGCTGAGATTACAGGCGTGAGCCACCTCGCCAGGCCCATTCTCCAACTTTTGGATCCAGCATTTATTTCATGTTTATTCCAACTTTATGTTTTCACTTTTTTAGTTGTTACTAAACAATAATTCAGAACCCATTTGCCATCATTTAATTATGCACAACCTTGGAATGCCATATGTTGAAATTATTAAATACATTGGGTTTAAATATAAAAAGGGATTTATATATATGTATAATTCATAGACATAATGAAAACAGATTATTTTCAATATAATATTAAGAGCAAACTGAATTATAAAATTATACATCCATTTTCTTGTTTCAATAATAATTTCTTTAATAGCTAATAGATCATTAGAAATGTGTTTGCTTTTGAACTCTAGTTATGTACTTTTGATGATTATAATAAATAAAAGAATTCAAATATGCTCATTTTAGTGAAAAAACTATTATACATTATGATGTTGGACCTGCTTAACAAAATTCATGTATAAGTAGTCAATAGGATAAATTCTAAAAGGTAAATATTGGTGATATTAAACTGTAATAAAGTTAAGAATGTATTCTTTATTAATCATTAGACATTGAATATAATAGCCTAAAGAAAATGCATAATACATCTGCCATATTCTAGATTATTCCTCATAGAATAGGCTAATCGACTAAATAATCACTCCTCAATAGAAAGCAATAATCCCAAAGTGCTGAGAAGTAATGACTCAGCTAGGAGACTGTTGCTCTGAGATGATTCCTTGTCAATCAAGAGATCAAAAGCGTTCAAAATATGAAAATCAGTAAATTACAGAATAGTATCAAGGATAAGGTTGAACCCTGAAACTTGTCTATGTTTTATAAATACCTACTTAAAGGTATAAATGAGAATGCAAGTGACAAAAATATAAATATGGCTTAAAAGTGACCCTAGTAAAGTTGAACTTGCATGTTCTAAAACAGGGCAAATAGAGTATGTTATGGAATAGAAATTAAACTCATCTCCAAATGTAAACACTTTGAAAAGTCTTAGTGTATACTGAGATCCTCTGATGATCTGGCAGGTGATGAACTGCAACAGAACTCTCACTATAAATTTTTCTACAATTTCTTTTTTGAAAATCTATTCCTGCATTTGCCCTTCAAATTCTCTTTCTCCCTGATTTTGAATGATGCAGTAGACACAGATTAGACTCAGGCCTTTTGTTAGTTGGTCCATCACAATCCCTTTCTTAAGCTTGAGCAACATTCATGGGCCTGTGTTAGAGCTTCCACTTGTCCCTGTCCCCACTATTGTGCAGCCTCCTAGGCAGTGTGTGGGGGGCAGCAGGCTTCTTTCACCTGTGTGTTTCCCTTCCTGACACCCAGGGTAGCCATCACCCCACACCCCTACACTCTGAACCATGTGGTCAGGCAGTAATCCAGAATAGCCCTGATGGAGTAGTTGTTCAGTCTTTTCTGAGGGCTTTTCAAACCCATGGGTTCTTACAATTGATGTCCTCTCTTGTCGCTGATTAATGTAGAGGTGGAATAGAATCCTCACAGATTGGTCTTAAGCTATGCTGGAGATAGAATAGACATTCCTTGCAGAAATGGGACCACACCACTTACTAATGCAATGGATTTCTCATCTATCCTCCTTGCTGGTCGTCGGTACCTGAAAAGCAAGGGTATGGCCAGCATTCAAAGAGATCACATTTAAGAATGCAGAGATAAAGTAACAACTAAAATGTTAAAGAAAAAAACACAGTTGGAAGTTGTTTTCTATGTTTATACAATAAAACCCAAAGGGAATATTTAACATGACCTTTTATTTTTAAAATGATATTTCACATGCTCCTGCATACTTTGGGTAATATTTGCCTTCGTGGTCATCAACAACATAGCAAAGTAACAAATTCTGAGAAAAAGTCATTGGCAGGCAGCATTCTTAAGTGGCACAATGAATGAGGCAGCATCTTGTGTAACACTGTAACCAGCATTAAATAAATAACGTTGCGAACTTTAGGGACAAGAAAATCTATATGGCTCAAATACAAACAGCCGTATTGAAAAGACATGACATTGTGAGTAATAGTGCCAATATCTTTTCCTAGACTGTGACATACAAAATTCCTAGAAATCATGCTTTTGTTTTCTTTCTTTTTTTTTTCAAGAACAGGAAGAAAATGTTTCTGGTGTTTCTGGACCTCAAAGAAATGGTACCTGAACAATATGAATAACTTTCATATGCACTGAATGGACAATAAACAAATGTGTAATTATTTCTTTCTACCCAGTATTTTATAGCTTCCTTGATACATCACAATTTGAAACCAAAAACCATAATTTATATGATACATTTTTAATAAAATTGTTTCTACAGCCAAGCATAAGCAGAAAATTAATATTTACACAGAAGCCTGCACACTTTAAGACATATTTACACCCCAGTTTATTTAGTTTATTTTATATAGTTTGTTACCTCTTTTTTTCTTTCTGTTTTTCTTTTTTCTTTTTTTCTTTTTTTTTGAGACAGAGTTTTGCTCTTGTTGCCCAGCCTGGAGTGCAGTGGCGTGATCTCAGCTCACTGCAACCTCCACTTCCTGGGTTCAAATGATTCTCCTGCCTCAACTTCCCGAGTAGCTGGGATTACAGGCACCCACCCCCATGCCTAGCTAATTTTTGTATTTTTAATAGAGACGGGGTTTCATCATGTTGGTCAGGCTGATCTGAAACTCCTGATCTCAGCTGATCCACCAGCCTAGGCCCCCAAAAGTGCTGGGATTACAGGTGTGAGCCTGTAACTGTGCCTGGCCTAGTTTGCTACTTTTTATGTTAAATTAATATTTCTCAAATATTTGTCATCCTTATTTTTGCCATTTATGTATACAATCTGTATTATATTTGCTTATATGTTTTTAATTTTACTTTTACAATTTCATTTTTAAATGAAATAAGACTGTTCAAAACAAATGTTTTAAAATTAAAATTTGAAGGTCAACATTACTGTCAAAAATAGACATGTTCCTGAAAATATGATGAAAACAAAATCCCATCATTTTGATTCAGGTAGAAACAGTTATCTATAAATATCTGAACCTGAGGCAGTTCCAGCTGTGTTAAAAATGATTTCATTTTAGACAGTTGCAAATAACAGATTAACCCCAAACTTCCTTTTTAAGTTTCTCATAAGTTTGAAAGAGCATTTTAAAAATAAATTTCTCATAATGTAACTCAAAGTTAATAAATATCATCTATGTTACAACTGGCACATGGGAATCACTGATATTATGTAATATGTATGTATTTGATTATAGATACTTGTATTCATTCTTTATTCCTTTTTATAAAGTGTTCTGTGATCTGCAATCAATATTTTTATAATTAGAAAAAAATACCAGTACTTCTGTCTCAAAGAGCTACCCTTAAATGTGGCCACAATTCTCACCTCTTAAATATGGGCTGTGCTTAGTGACAACTTTCCAAAGGGTACTATACGAAAAGGGAGAAAAAATGATTCATTTCACTGGAGAAACCTGAAACACTACCTCAGCCAGGTCATCAAAGATAGCATCGTCAGTGACATAGCATGCAGCCAGGTGTTGGTGACCCATGACTGCAATTCCAGAACTTTGAGAAGTTGAGGTGGGAGGATCGCTTGAGCCCAGCAGTTTGAAACCAGCCTGTGCAACAGTGCAAGATCTCATCTCTACCAAAAAAAATATATATATATATTTGGCTGTGGGGGTATGCACTTGCAGTCCCAGCTACTTTACTCAGGAGGCTGAGGCATGAGGATTGCCTGAACCCAGAAAATGGAGTCTGCAGTGAGCTATGATTGCCCCACTGCACTCCAGCCTGGGCAACAATGTGAGAACCTGTTTCTAAGAAAGATAAAACTTTTGAAATTAACATAAAACAGCATAAGCCCGTCAAATGATTGACTGGAAATATAGTTTCCCTCTGTAGGCTTCCTCCTATCAAAACCATTATTATAGCCTAATAATAACAAAAAAAGAGAAATATCCTAATTGAAGAATATGCTACAAAATGCTAAATAAATACTTATCAAAACTTCCAAGGTCACCAAAAGTCAAGAAAATCTGAGAAAATGTCACAGCCAAGAGAAGCCTAGGGAGACATGACAACGAAATATAATGTGGTATCCTGGATGGGAATCTGGGACAAAAAAAGAACATTAGGTAAAAAACTAAATAACTTTGAAGAAACTGTAGACTTTAGTTTATAATAGTATATCCATACCAGTTTATTAACTGTAACAAATATACCACACTAACATAAGGTGCTAACAAAAGGAGAAACTGCATGTGGAATATATGTGGGAACTACCCTACTATTTTCATACGTTTTCTGTAAATTGATAACTATTCTAAAATATAAAGATTATTTTTTAAGTGACTAAAAATTAAAAACAACTATAAATTGACAAAAGTTAAAATTATATGTGCTACTTTTTAATTTCTTCACGTGGAAATTAATGATTTTATTAACCCTGAGAATGTGAAAGGATATTTGTGAAATATCAATGGAATGCTACTCTCTTGGCATTTTTCAACAGTACAATAGTCACCGTCGTATTATTACCTGTAGTCACCACGTTATACAATACATGCCTTGAATTTATTTTTTCTATCTAACTGAAATTTTCTATCTTTTGACCAAGTTCTCCCCAATACCCCTTTATACATACATCCTCAATCGCCCCAGCCCCTGGTAACCACCCTTTCTCCAAACCACCTTGATCTTTAAAGTATTAATATTTTGGTTTTGGTTCTCATACTAATAATTTATATTGAGTAAAGTTGAATATTTTTAAATGAGTATTACCTAATATAAATGGCTTATAATATCTTTGTTAATCACTATAAATCTTTTCAACCTGCTATGTTCAATTTTAGATTTATCAGGTCGTTAAAATTTTCCCTTAGTAAATTAATTTCTTCTTCACCTCATATCAAGTTTAGAGTTTAACTATCCTAGCAGTATAATTCATTCATAGGCATCTCTACCCTTTTTCTTCTCCCCCATGCCTTCGCCTAAAACCTGTAAAGTGTCCAGTTGAACAATATTTAGATTATGAGATCCATTGAACATCTTTCCTGAAATGAGAAACTAATTTCCCATTTCAAACTGGAAGTAAACTTAAATTAGGTGGTTTATTAAAACAAAACAAACAAAACCAGTCTCAAGAACACTTGCAGGTTTTATTTTCTCCACCATTTATAAAATACATTTACATGGGAAACAAGCTAAACTACATACTGTTTCTTTTGTGGATGAACCACTCCTTTGGCAGCCATATAACCATTGCCGAGATTCAGCGCTAATGGCAAGTTAAATAACATTTTCACCTAAAGATATAGTCAATCAAAAATTGCCTAATAAAAGTATCAGGAGCAAGAAAGAGAAAAACAGAGCAATGAAGAAAGTACAATGTGCATAGCTGGGGCTCTGCAGTATAATAGGAGCAGTTAAGAAACCACCTATACAATGAATAGGAAATAGCATCACCCATGGAGAAAGTAGAACTTTGATTAGGTCTCAATCAAAGGAGAGTAGTAGTTTAATAAGAGACTACAGGAGGATTTTTTTTTAATATTCTATAAGCTACACAATACACAAAAAAGTTAAAAATTCTTGACGAACTAAGACATAAACATTAATGAACAATTAGAGATTATAGAAAAAATAATATAGGGCCTTTTGAAAGCTAGAGGGTTTGGGGCCATGTCTTTAGAGCCTGTATTTTAGGTAAACCAACGTAGAAATGTCATTCTCCTTTAGAAGACCATATTAGAGAACACGTTTTTTAGATCAACTTCTGTGTAGTCAAGATGAAAAGATGGTCAGGTAATATGTTCTCATAACAAGGGAGAAGATGAAATACCAGCTTGGGAAAGAACTCAGAATCAAATTAGACATTAAAAGTGTTCAAACCTAAAAGTACACTGAAATAAAATTGATAGTGTTACTTATTTTCAAACCAAACAGTATTTGGCAGAGTTAAATGGGAGTATTAAGCAACTGAGAGTCAGGAAAGAAAAACCAAATAAATTAAGCCTGTGTGTGTATATGTGTGTGTGTGTGTGTGTGTGTGTGTATACACATATATATGTTACATATAAACCACAAGAACTAGTACATTTTAGATGATATGTTACAAGATTTTCAATTGTCACTTTTTCAAATTAAATTTATTGTATTTTCCTAGAGTTAGTAATAAGAAACTAATTGACAATAACTGTATAATTGTTTTGACAACATTAATTTAGGGAATCTAAATTGATAACCTACAACATAAATGTTAGAATATAGTTAAGCCAATATAAGAAATACAGTCCTAACAGCATAAGAGCAGAGAGCCAAATTAAGACTGTGTTAAAAAATGAAAAGAGATGCCTAAGAATAAGCCTAGGAAGAAACAAGCAATGTCTTAGGGGTGTTCTACTGTACCAGAAAATCTATGCTCATCTATACCACTTTTCCTTATTAAGGAGATGCATTTCTTCATTTTTCTGCTGTTTTATCCAAAATCCACTGAAATCTCCATCTTTGCGATATCAGAAAATTTTGCGGCAAAACTGTCAACTTGCAGAGCAGTTTCCTTCTGTGGCAGTTTTATCATATTCTTCATTTTCTCATTTATAGTATCAACAAGCAAATATATATTCTTCTACTAACACTAAAATAATATATTCTCTCACACAATAGTAATTCCTCTCTTTCCTGATACCATAATATTTTTTCTCTTTTACATTACAGGGTGTCTACTGGTGGCTGTTCTTTGTCATGCAACTTTTAATTCATTAGCGGCTTGAAATAAAGCAGTGAAAAGAAGACAAAAGTTTCTATCCTCATACAGATTACTGTTTAATAAAATTATAATGTTTGCTTTTACTTACATGCCACTAATTATTTGTTACTCCACATGAAACTTTTCATCAAGTATATTTCAGGCTAGTAATTCATAGGTAATAGAAAATTATGACTAATTATATCAGTCTATTGCAGACTGGGTTAAACAACAAAAAATTATTTCTCACAGTTCTGGAGGCTAGAAGACCAGGATCAAGGTTTCATCAGGGTTGGTGTCCGGTGAAGTCTCTCTCCCTGGTTTGTAGATGGCCACCTTTAGTCTGTATACCAATGGCCTCTTCTCTGTATGCACACTGGGAGAGAGAGATGTCTGACGTCTCTTCCTTTTTTTTTTTTTTTTTTTTTTGAGATGGAGTCTCACTCTGTTGCCCAGGCTGGAGTGCAGTGGTGCGATCTCGGCTCACTGCAACCTCTGCCTCCTAGGTTCAAGCAATTCTCCTGTCTCAGCCTCCCGAGTAGCCAGGAATATAGGCACACGCCGCCAGGCCTGGCTAATTTGTTTTTATTTGGATTTTTAGTAGAGACGGGGTTTTACCATATTGGTCAGTCTGGTCTCAAACTCCCGACCTCAGGTGATCCACCCGCCTTGGCCTCCCAAAGTGCTGGGATTACAGGTGTGAGCCACCGTGCCTGGCCTCTTCCTCTTTTTATAAAGATGCCAAACCTCTTGGATTAGTGTCCCATCTTTATGATCTAACATAATTACTTGTCTAAAGGCCCTATCCCCAAATACAGTTACTGGGGTTTAAGGTTTTAATAGGGTTTAAGGTTTTAACATGCAAATTTTGGGGGAGGGACACAAATCAGTGTATAACACTAATGATATATATATAATTTATAGCATAATACATATATGTGTAAGTATGTACTGATATGTATATTCACATAATATATAATACACATAATTCATTAGTATATATAATATATAATATTGGTAGCTACAAGTTAAAAGTTTATGCTCAAATAATATGTCCACTTTGATTTGTTTGCAGGGGAGTACACTTTACAATAATAAATATTTTTTCCTTTCAACCTATACTTACAGTGATACCAAATACCTTACTCTTAGCATGAAAGATGAAACTCTCTCTTTCATGGTTCTTTCTACATAAACTTTTTAAGACTCAATTCCACCATAGTCAAACAAGTCATTTTTTATACCCAATCTTGTTTCTTGGATAAAATAACATTTAAATTATTTGTTGTCAAAACCACAAGTTTTTCACCATTCAATATTTACCATATTTTTGGCCATGTATGGTGGGTCACACCTGTAATCCTAGAGCTTTGGGAGTCTAAGGCAGGAGGATCACTTGAGGTCAGGAGTTCCAAAACAGCCTGGGCAATATAGCAAGACTCAGCATCTACAAAAATTAATTAATTAATTAATTAATTAAAATATAAAGAAAAGTAACTAAGCCTGGACGCTTGTGCCTGCAGTTCTAACTACTCAGGAGGCTGAGGTGGGAAGATGGCTTGAGCCCAGGGGTTCAAAATCACAAGTCTCAAAACTTTGGTTTTGTGTGTCTGTATAATCATATATATGTATACATATATATATGTATGTACGTGTATATATGTATACACATATACATATGGGTATACATGTATACACACACGTATGGGTATACATGTATACACACACGTATGTGTATATATATGTATACACATACGTATGTGTGTATATATGTATACACATATACATGTATGTACATATATATATGTATAAGTCTCAAAACTTGTGGTTTTGACAACAAATAGCTTAAACTCTACAGTGGTGTAGATCACACCACTGTACTACAGCCTGGGCAACAAAGCAAGACTCTTGTCTCTAAAAATAAATAAATAAATGAATAGTAATTTTTTTGCATATACCTATATAATTTTTATTCCATAGGAATCCATATTTCTATAGTATTTCATTTGACTTTATCTTCCAACATTTATTGACTTCTCCAAAATTTATTTATCTCTATATCTCCTCCTGTGTGTTGCTCTTTTGGTGGGATTACATGCTTTTGTTCTCATTTTTAAAAGAAGTTTATCTACTTCTATTATTTGTCTTCTATGTGCACTTTTTCAAAGTCATTTTTTGAGACAGATCTATTGTGCTTCGTTCACTGTTTTCAACCTGGCAACCTGGCATCAATACTATCCGAGTATAAATTTCCCTTGATATCATGATTAGAAGCCAAGATCTATGTTTCTGAAAATCCATTTTCTCATGTTCCTGCATTTGTTTCTCTCAATGATGGCTGCTCTTGTGAGATCTGGAAATTTAATTAGAAGAAACCATTATTTTAATATTCATCTTAGGTGGTTGCAGTCACGCATGTGGGTAAATGTGAGACAAGTATTCCTAAGTACTTGCTTATTTTATTCTTTGTTATATAATTTGATAATCGTCTTTCACAACTTAGAAAATAACTTTGTAGAACTTTTCCATAATATATTTTATTTAATGTGCTATTTTTCTCTGGCTTCCTACAGAGGATATTTTCTCATATCTATTTAGGAAGAAACCCAACTTTTTAATTTTCTTTATATTTGAGGCCTTCTGCCTGTACTATTATTTTATCAAGATATTCTACCAACATTTCCTGAGTGTCTGCAATGTTGTCAAGATGTATAAAGATGAATTATTTTTAAAATAGGTTTATCTCCAAATATATATGGCACTTAAGGGAGGGTGGTATTATTACCCAGTGCAATGCATGGGTGACATAAATGAATTTCTACTCCGCCCTAACTCTGTTTATCCTTAGGAAACAAGATACCTTCTGCAAGAATTTCCCTTTGTAATCAGACCAGCTGAGGCTGGTTAGAACCAAGACAGCCTCAGACTTCATTATAATCTCATTTCCATGCTGAATGACACTCCCACCAGCACCATAACATGACAATCACCATGACAATGACTGGTAGAAGCCATAAAAGGGCAAAAAGAAGGTGGTGCTACCAGTTCAGAGAAGTTCCCTCTCCACTTCTGGAAAAGATATGAATATTCTTCCCTCTGCTTTTAATATCCAAACTGTTAGTTAGAGAAACTTTATATTTTAACCTCCCTGCCCCTCACTAGTCCAGACGTTGATTTGCGAGCCACACTCCTGCTTCTCCATTCCCTGGATGTGGAATAAAACTTGCTCTGCTTGAAGCTCACTTTCAGTTTTGTGTATAAGGTCTGTGGCACCAAACGGGGAAACTATCTTTTGGGGCCACCAATTTTATAGGTTACCATATAACTTGTGTTGTTCCAACCAGTAATAAGGATTAGGGGCATGGGGAGTGGAGGGTGTCCCTGGGGTGGGAGTGATCTTCTGAGAGAGAAAAGTTTTGTATCAATGTCATTTTTTCAGATCTTTGGTTCATGGTAATAATAAAAAGCAGACTGAATCTTAGTTTCATTTAATTTTTAAATCTATTTACAAACAATGTTCTTCATTATCACCTGCAATCAAGTTGAACAGTCCCCGCCCTACCTTGTTACCACTGGAAAGAATGAATAAAATTACTTTTTATATGCCCTGATAATCTTATGAACCAGTAATAAAAACATAATAGAAAAGGAGTAGGAGATACTGTGGATAGGGCCAAAGAGGGCTTCAGAGAGGAGTGCTATTTCAAGGCTCTATGAAGAGCAAATACTTAGCATGTTCTTTGTCATGAAGAAAATACATTTTTAATTACAAACCAGTCAGTCATTTCATAGATTTTCCCCAACCTCCAACTTCTATGTGCTCAATACAATGAAAAATGTATAGTCATGGCCTTGTCTCCCATTTAGGCATGGCTACAAGTCTGGAGTTTCAGAGAAACTTTTAATAATATAACAAACCAATGAAAAGCTGTGGAGTAATTTCTGATCATTCCAAAATGGAAGAACTTTTACATTTCTATATCAACATTTTAGGAGACATGCAATTGAGTGTAAACAAGCTAGTCTTATGCTTACTTGTCTTAGTTTTTCTATGATTAAACCATGCAACTCATACTTAATATTGCTATTTGGGGGTACAATGGTCATTGTATAGCCTTAAAGGCACATTGTAGAAAGAAGCTGCTTTTCAAGGCAATTTTCTAAGGTATGAAGCTATCTTCAAGGTGAAGCAGAGTAATTTTCCATTTAATTTGACATTTTCTGGATGATTGGCTCCTAAATTCAAGGCTTTTCCAATTAAATTCAGTTGCATTTATATCCAGAAAATTTTCACAGGGGATTGGTTTCCTGCTGTGGAGGTGGGTTTTGAAGCTACTTGAACTAAATTACAGCCAACATACATCCTGAGCACACTGCAGCCCTCTTAGATACTTTCTACATTCAGTGTCCTGATTCCAAGAGGGTTGATTAATTCACATTGGGTTTTCACACCTAGAAAACAGTAGTCTGAAAAAAATCTTGATGAATTGGAGATAAAAAGAAAAACTTGTTAAAAGATATAATTTATTCAGGACATAAAAAATAAGCACATTTCGGAGAAGATATAATCTTCTGATCCTATTTTTAAAAATCTATTTTGTCAAGATTTTTTTCTATTTTATTTTTGTTTTAATTTCATTAACTTTGGCATCATCCATTTCTGCCTTGGTAGTACACACATTGAATATTTTCATCAATTAAAAAATTATACTTCGTAGAAGGTTATAATTCTCACATCAAAGTGAGCATGCCTACTCACAATACTCTTCTACTCCCAATGTTAAGACATACCATAAACTATGAATGAGCATGAGAGATTGTACTGTCCTTCCCCCAAATAAGCGATAATAAGTTATGTAAATAATTAATTTTATGTTGCCCTTTTTGTTTCCCCTTTTGTTTATTTGTTTTGTTTGTATATGCCATGACACAATAAAGACAAGCTTCTAATAAACTTACTGTTTTAAATTAATTAAAGGAAAGTAATGAAATATGCATAATATGATATATAAATACGAAATCAAATAAAATCTCTAATAAAAAGTATACAAATGATATGAACATATAATTCACAAGAGATGAAAAATTAAACCAAAAAATGTGGAAAATGATTCTATTGGTAAAAGTTTGTGAAATAGCAAATTTATTAACACGTGGTATAAATGTAAATTAAAATGAACTTCTAAAGGCTTTTTTGTAGTATTTCACAGGTCTTTTGAATAGTTGCTTCCTCTACCTTGTAATTCTTTTTGAAAAGCACCTTAACATACCAATTAGAAATGCACAAAATACTAATTTTATAAAAACTAATATGAAAACATTATTTATAATAGAGAAATATTGAAAACAACCTGTATACAGTTAAAGGGAGTATTTTGCATTTATTTAAATAAATAGTATACAATAGATAAGAATAACCTTTAAAAAATGATAAAATATTTTAAAATGTGAAAAGTATGACATTCTGCTAACTGAAAGTGAAAGTGAAGAAGTATTTTTACTTCAATTAACTTTATGTAACTCTAGTAACCTAAGAACAGCTATTTTTATACCCATGAAAAATAATAGCAATTAATCAATTAAAATGACAGAATTAGTATTTTATTTTAGAAAAATACAATAAGAGAAAGAACAATTATACTAATTTGAGCCTCGCACATAGTTTGCCTTTTATTTGGATTTGTTCAAGTGAATAGCAGCTCTTTGAAAGCAGTTGATTTTTTTAAGATAAATCTTGATAAACCACCATCTTTGATCTAAATCCTCATAGGTGTTGAGTGTAATTGTCTTATAAAAACAGACTGAATGTAACAAAGCGTCAAACATTGAAGTATAAGTCAGTGTTGTATGAGTTTCTCCAAGAGATTTGATTTGAAATTAAATGTTGTAATAGAGACTATATATATATATAATATTTTATTTATGAGTGCCTGATATTAAAACTGGCTGAAAAATTACAAAGATAGAATTATTCACATTTCATCCATCCCCTGCTTTTGACAATAACTGCACTATCCTTTAAGCTCTCTTTTTCACTGCTGCTTGTTGGAGTGAAGAATGATTGGAAAATAATTCATGTATCTTATATCTTTTTGAAAACCTACAAGTGGATGCCCAGTAATTTTAAGCAAAACACAGAGGCACCCTGCCTTCTTAATAGTAAAATAAATTCTTATTAGAAAAATGTATAGTACTCGCATTAAAAGTAAACATATATGCAAGATATTATTACAACATATAATCTAATTAAAATTATTAATGAGATATTTTACATTAAATTATTTTCATCAGTCTTCAAATTCTGGTATGCATATTTATAATGCAGCTCAATTTGAATTCTGTATTTTCAATGGTTATAATATAGGCCTGCTAAAATTACTTAAATGAATTTAACAGAATGAATATTTTATACTGCTTTCGTTTTTAATTTAAATTTTATTTTATTAAAAATACAAATCAAAAATTCAAGTCCTTAAGTTATCTAGCCACGTGTTGAGTGCTCAAATAGCCACATGTAGCTACCATATTTAAGCATGTAGCTATAGAAACTAGGACAACATTAAACTCAGGAAGCCAAAAATGTAATAATGTCCACCAGCTTTAAACTTTTTCATTAAATTACTGGAAATGTGCCATTGAGCCTCTATTAAAAATTATTATTAAGCAGAAAACAGAGCAGTAACACTTTGTTGCAAATTTATCTAAGTTACATTTTCTCTTGTATTTTCCTGAATCATATGTTTTAAATGAGAATTGTCTTGAGAGTCAGATATTATTCTTTTGTTTTCTTTTTAAAGATTTTTAAATAATTTCAATTTTTACTTTAAATCCAAGGGGTACATGTGCATGTTTGTTACATGACTATATTCCATAGTGCTGAGATTTGGGGCACAAATGATCCCATCTCCCAAGTAGTGAGCATAGTACCCCATAGGTAGTTTTAGGGCTAATGCTTCCCACTCCTCTGTGGTAGTCCACAGTGTATATTGCTCCCATCATTTTGTCCATGAGTACACAATGTTTAGCCCCCTATTATATGTGAGAACATGCAATATTTGGTTTCAGTCCCTGCATTTATTTGCTTAGCATGATGGCCTTCAGCTGCACCTATGTTGATGCAAAGAACATGATTTTGTACTTTTATATAGCTATACAGTATTTCATGGTGTAGATGTACATTTTTTTTTTATGCAGTGCACTACTCATGGGCATCTAACTTGATTTCATGTCTTTTGTATTTTGATTAGTGCTGGGATGAATGTATAATTGTATATGTCTTTTTGTTGAATGATTTCTTTTTATTTGGGTCTATAGCCAGTAATGAGATTGCTGGGTTGAATGGTAGTTCTGTTTTAAGTTATTTAAGAAATGTCCAAACTGCTTTCTATAGTGGCTGAACTAATTTATATTCCCACCAATAGTGCATAAGTGTTCCCTTTTCCCTTCAGTCTCATCAGCATCTGTTATTTTTTCACATTTTAATAATAGCCATTCTGACTGTTGTGAAATGGTATCTCATTGTGGTTTTGATTTATATTTCTCTGATGAATAGTGATGTTGAGCATTAGATTATGTAAACTGATCAAATCTATGTATTTCTGGAATTTCTGAAAGAGAAGGAGAAAAAGCCAAAAACTTGGAAAACATAATTGAGGGAATAATCCAAGGAAATTTCCCTAATCTTGCTAGAAAGGTAGACATCCAGGTACAGGAAATTCAGAGAACGCCTGTTGAGGTACTATAATAAAATAAAGATCACCAAGGCATTTTATAACCAGACTGTGCAAGGTCAACACACACACACACACAAAATTTAAAGGTAGCTAGAGAAAAAGGTCAGATCATATACAAAGGGGAACCCATTAGGCTAACAACAGATGTCTCAGTAGAAACTTTACAAGTCAGAAGACATCAGGGCCTATTTTCAGCATTAAAAAAAATAAGAAAAAAGAAAAAGAAATTCCAGCCAAGAATTTCATAACCTGCCAAACTAAGCTTGAAATAAAATTCTTTCCAGACAAGCTATCACTAAGGGAATTCACTACCACTACACCAGCCTTACAACAAATTATCAAGGGAGTTCTAAAGATGGGAACAAAAGAATAATACCTGCTACCACAAAACCATATTCAAGTGCATAGTCTACAGATCCTATAAAGCAACTACACAATAGAAACTACAAAGTAACCAGTTAACAACTTCACAATAGTATTAAAACTTCACATAACAATATTAGTCTAGAATGTTTTCTTATTAAAAAAAAGTTTAGATAAAAATTTGAAGAAAAAATCTATATTCTGTCCAGGGATCCTCAATTTAATTAACTAATATACTGAGTGAAATTCAGTTTATTTGAGAAAATGAAGCACAAAAAGTAGATTATATGATTGTACTTAAACTACATGATTTTTCTAATGATTTTAATATAATTCCAGAATAGCAGGAATGTACCTGATTAGACTAAATAGTAAGTAGCATTACCTAGTATGTTATAGATGCATTACTATAAGTATTACCTAAACTTGTTTTAATGCTAGTATATCAGTTTTATATCAAAATTATATTAAAGGTCCAGTATGTAAGAGGGAACACTAAAATTCTGGCACTTTGTCATAGGTAAGACAACCACTGTTTGTTGATATCCTATAAGGCTCAATATAATTAAAGTGAATATGAAGGTCAAGTGAAATATCAAACATAAAAGTCTACTTAATCATTAAGATTAGTTCTCTATAGCACTTATTTATAAGGTAGTTGTTCCATTTTCATTTTATCATTTCTATGAAAATGATAGTTATGATTTATCCTTCCACAATGGTAAAGTCCTAATATCATTCATCACAATATTTTTAAGCCATGCATACATTTAGTTTTAAATATATGTTAGTGTTATGGGTTGAATTGTATCCCCCCAAAAAGATATATTGAAGTCCTAGCACCCAATACCTCCAAATGAGACCTTGTGTTGGATGTAGTCACACATATATAATTCATTAAGATGAGGTCATGCAGAAGCAGGGTGGGTCCTTAACCCAATATGACTAGTGTCCTCCTAAGTACAAAAGAGACACAGAGGAAAGAAAATCACATAAAGATGAAGTCAAAGATTGGAGTTACAATCCTATAAACCAAGGAACACCTGGGGTCACCGGAAGCTGAAGAGGCAAGGAAGTTTCCTCCCCTAGAGGCTTTGGAGGGAGAATGGATCTACCTTTACTTCAGATTTCTAACCTCCAGTGCTGTAAAAAAAAGAAATGTATGTTACTTTAAGACATTCACTTTGTGACATGTTGTTATGCATCCCTGGGAACTAACAGAAGTAGTGAAATAAAAAGTAAACTGTCTCAGGAAATTTCATTCTTCAATTAAAAAGGTATAATTCACTTTATTGCTACTGTGGTGGTCTTTGTATTAATTTAGTAAGGATTTAGTGACCACCAAGTACGACAGATACAGAGCAGGCCAAAAAAAAAAAAAAAAAAATCTCATTTTTTTTCTAGCCTCCCTCTGGTAACATGTGAGGAAAATAAATAAATAAATAAATAAATCAGGTTCTATAATCAAACAGTAGCCAGAAACTACATTCGTATCCATTAGTGGAAGATATTTTAGCAATGTAGGTGATAAGACCTAGGGTAATTAGATTTTTTTTACACACCAAGTTCACAGAAGTTAAATGTTGACCATAATTATAATTACATGTATATGTAAAATGTGACAAGAATTAATTTACATGTGTTATGTATGCTTAATATTATAGAACTAATTAATAAAACCTCAAAACCTTAAAATTATAAGATTTAGAAGGACCTCAGAAAATAGGGAAAGAAACATATGAACAACTTCTTTCTCCTTCTCCTTCTCCTCTTCCTCTTTTCCTCCTCCTCCTCCTCCCTCTTTCTCTCCTCTTCTTATTCTTTTTTTTTTTTCTTGAGATGGAGTCTTACTCTGTCACCAGGCTGGAAGTGCAGTGGCACCATCTTGGCTCACTGCAACCTCTGACTACCTGATGCAAGCGATTCTCCTGCCTTAGCCTCCTGAGTAGCTGGGATTACAGGTACACACCACCATGCCCAGCTAATTTTTGTATTTTTAGTAGAGACGGGGTTTCACCATGTTGGCCAGGATGGTCTCGATCTCCTGACCTTGTGATCCACCCGCCTTGGCCTCCCAAAGTGCTGGGATTACAGGCATGAACTCCTCCTCTTATTCTTTGTCCTCTTCTTCTTCCTCATCTTCTTCACCATTAAAATATAAGGCCTACTAACTTGATCTAGATCTCAATTCTTCAGACCTATACACAGAATTCTGTCCAAATGATGGCATCTGTTTGTTATCAAATACCTGATTCAATCAAGTGTACACAGAGTTTCAAAGATTTTTATGGAAATTGATTCTAGAATATTTTACATTTGTGTGTAAATGTGTAATTATTTCATTCTTTTGAAAATAAAAAATATGTATCAAGTCACACTTTATAATGATTAAGGTTTCCTTTAAATGGAGTTATATTTTGGCTTCATTTTGCCTACTTTTTAAGACCCTGTTAAAAGAGAACATCATTAGAAACCTAACAATATAGATGTTGTAATTCCTCTTCACTTCTAAAAAGTTAGTGGCAAAATATTGCTTTATTTATTTATTTATTTGTTTGTTTGTTTGTTTTGAGACGGGGTTTCGCTATTGTTGCCCAGGCTGGGGTGCAATGGTGCAATCTCAGCTCACTGTAACCTCTGCCTCCCAGGTTCAAGCTATTCTCCTGCCTCAGCCTCCTGAGTAGCTGGGATTACAGGTGCCTGCCACCACACCCGGCTAATTTTTTGTATTTTTAGTAGAGACGGGTTTTCACCATGTTGGCCAGGCTGGTCTTGAACTCCTGACCTCAAGTGATCAGCCTGCCATGGCCTCCCAAAGTGCTGAGATTACAGGAATGAGCCACCGTGCCTGGCCTGCTTTAAGTATTTACCTAGGCTTGGCACTGTGGCTCACACCTGCAATCCCAGCACTTTTGGAGGCCAAGTGGGAGGATCACTCGAGGCCAGGAGTTCCAGTCTGGGCAACAGAGCAATACCCCATCTGAAAAAGAAGTTCAGCTAGCAGAAAAAATAAACTTTAATCTAATTTTCCCATAATTTATTTTATGAAGTTATAAGAGGAGAATTTTTAATGGCTTGCCCAAATTTCAGTTGTATGTCTTTGCTTTATAAAATGACAACTGAATTCACACGTTAAGAAAGAAATGTATTATTCGTCATGAAAGAAGGTGTGACTCTACAATATCAGACAGTTATTTGAGAACGCTCACACCTATTTATCGAAAAATCTACCCTATTGTGTTGTCTATGCTGGAGAACTTCTTTCTTTTAAACTGTGCTTTTAATTCACTTCTAAGGAACCAGGCATATATTCTTCAGGACGTGGTTGGTGTAAACAAAATAATGTGTGTATAATGCCTATTGTTATGGTTGACACATGCATTTAAAATGCATCTTGAATTAATATCTATTTGTATGGTGTAAAGCTGTGTTCTTTGGATATCTGACTTTAGTAGCCTCAGGGGCTAACTTTTTTATTTCGAGAAAGGTACCTGAATTTAGCCAACCATGATATTTCCATTCAACAGTCAATCACATTTGTTGCTTTCCTAGAAAAACAGTACAATTTGTTCAGAACTATTTATATAAAAATGCTCATTGTCAAGCATTTTATTCCACCCATGTCTACAAGTATTTTGACAATAATTTATAAAATTGATATATAGAGATAGAAAAGAAGAATATCTCTCTTTTCAAACCCCTAATTAAATTTAATAAAGCATTTTCTCTTCTTAGGATTCCTGTGCTGACAATGAATATATTGAGCCTGCTTCAGACGATTTCACTATCCCAGCATAAATAATCAAAATCTGAAGCACTAGAATACAGAAGCCTTAGAAGCTAAATTCAAAATTTTGAGAGATAATATTATAGGCATCTTTCATGACACTTTTTATGAGCTCATCTTTCAGAGAATTCAATTAGCTGATTTTGTCTGTTGAGAAACTCAGCACCATTAAATCTCTTTTTCAAAACTTCTGTAGATTTATGATAGTCCAAGTAAGAAAATTATACTTTCCCAACTGTCAAATCCTCTATAAGCCTTTAAAATGTATAAGATTTCTTCCGTTTATAAGATAATTCTATGGAGATTTCTCCAGAGACTCTTCCAAAGAAACAATGGCTTCTTTTCTGGGTGTTTCAGTGTGGAAGATTTAAATTCACTTGACAACTGTGTAGTTCAGAAGATAAAACAGGGTGATTTTCTGGCTGGCATGCAGTGACAGTCCCCCACTGAACTTCCCCACAGCAACTATGAGAGTTAATGGCAGCTGTAGAATTTCCCATTGGTGGAATAATATTTATTTGAAGATATCTCAAAACTTTTTACTCTTCTATATATTTCAGGGAATAATTTCTTACAATAAAGCTATGAAAAATTTTATAAATTTAAACTATGAAAGAAAGACTACTAATATGTTTGTTTGAATTTCTGGATGCACTATTTTATAGAGAACAATTATTTGCAATAAGCAGAGTTCCTATTCTGTATAATGAAAGCAAATGTTCCTAAAGCTTCTAACTTCTAGCCTGGGAAGAAAGCACATTACAGAAGTGTTAATGGCCTTTAAAAAATAGTTGAATAAACAACATATGTAATTATTCTGTAGGGAAATACTGCTTAATTAAAATGTGGAGTCATTCTATTAGCATACACACCTGCTGCTCATATGGTTCATTTCTTTCTAAAATAACTTAACTCCTGAAAAAGGATCTCTCTCCACCTCATTTCCTTAGGAAATGTCCACTTTGAACTTCTGCTTTGGATTTGTCTATGTTGGCTTTAAATACTACGTGTGCATGCATGTATGTGCGTATTATATGTGAGATATATATATATATCTCACAGGGAGGACATGGATTTATTATAAAAATTAGCTGACCCTGTGGATTTTATAATCCTGTATTTTCTCGAAATATTCACCATCCAGTCATAATAGATTATGGGTCACAGATTTTTTTTTTTCCTGAAAAACCCACAGGCAAACTCATTGTCTCTGCCAAAGCAAGAGAAATCTTATTTGTAAAGGCTTCTAACTGGCATAATCTTCTTTTAGATTTTCATAATCTTAGACTTTCATTCAAAGATATTTTAAAGACCTCATCATTATTGAAAATTTTGTCTGTGTTAAAACTAAGTTTATTTTCTGAAAACATCCAGTTTTCTGCCTTATTCATCTCATATTCTAAAATAAATACAAACACTCAACTGTATTAGCAACAACTAATAGAGTAATAGAGAGCACTGACCATATACCAGGCACTATATGAAATAACTGTGTGTTTATCACTGATCCCAGCTTTATTTTTGGTTAGGATTTGTGTGTGTGTGTGTGTGTGTTCACTTTTTATACAGTGTAAATATATTCCTTTTTATTTTATAATGTATCAACATTTCTTACCCACTTTTGACTACTTTAAATTTCTCTTACGATGATTACAGCTTCAACATTTCAATATTTTAAAAATAAAAAAGTTACACATTTTAATTTTTAAATGAGGTGAACTGTAATAAAGAAAACATCATTTTCCTTCCCAGATAACATTTGCCAATCTAAATAATAATAATTATTATTATTACACATTAGACATGTGTGTATGCCTATGTGTGGATATATTCGCATTGTATATATTATTATTTTGTCTAATATTACAAAATAAAAGGTGGAGGTGGCTCTTCCTAATTTCTTAACCCACAACTATTCACTAAATATTTTTGTATGATTGCATAAAGGGAAAAGTGTGCATATGAGGGTGTTTCCATTTGAGACATTTTTGTTTCTGTATTTACAAGGTTAATTCATAGTAGAAGGATTGCTAAGTGGAAGGATGTGTGCCCTTTAAATGCTAACAAATTATCAATTTGTTTTCCACAGAAACTAAGTTGCTTACACCCCCACCAGAAATGAATGAAAATGGCCATTGCTCTTCACTTTTAATAACATTATGTATGAGCAAACATTTTGTAACTTTAGGTAGGAGTTAAAAACATGCTTTGTGATAGTTGATAAATGATATCTTACTGTTTTATGACTTGATTTTTTTCTTGTATCTTATTTAAAGTATCTTGAGCAGTTGCCTTTACATGTCTTTTGCTCTTTATGTTCTTATCTTTGTAGTTCTTAATGATAATAGCTCACATTTATTGAGTACTCATGAATTCCAGTCATTTGTTATAATCACTTTAAATATATTAACTCCTCTTATCCTCATATTTCTACAGTAGAAATAATTCACATTTCAATTTTATAGATGAGAAAACTATGGCATGGAAACATTAGTAAATTCTTCAAGATTACATGATGCCTAAGTAGGTAGTGGAGCCAACACTTGCCTCCTTGGGAAAGCAATTTGCCTTATTTTGTAGAATGGCACAGATACTAGTAACCTCTACAAGACTGCCCTTTAGGCATGGTAATGTAAGTGTGTACACTTGGCAGAAAGCAGCGTACACCAAGATCATAGGCTTAATTCAGGAAATATAATAAAATCTCTAATACTAAAGATAGAAAGCAATAAATGCTTTCTTCAGTGTCCCATTTGTAAGTGCTTTAGGGCAGGTGGCCTATGGGCATTTCTGAGACTGTAGTCTAGTATCCTGGTTGAAGTCATGCCCTGTGTAGGATCAAAGTTATTTCCAATAGCAAGGTATTGTGCCAAGGCAATGTGATCTCTGAAAAGCTCTTGGGCCAAGATGATGTCATCTAATATGTGGGACTGGAGTACCCTTCCCAAGCAGATACCCAGCAGGGTTGATATGGGTTATATGTTTTTTTGGCTCTATGGTATTGAAATGAAAATTAACTGATTGTAGAATTTGAAAGTAAGCTGTGGGAGCTCAATTGACAAAATATTTTAAGTTAAGGACTTCTATGGGCACAGCTGGCAAAGGTGATGATGGCGTCCATGATACTCTTGTAATAGGCCAAAGTGCCAGAAACTGACTGGCACAATTAAAGCCCAATTAAGGATACACAAATGTAAAATTGTTCAATGGTGAAAGGATTTATCAAGATGGGTAATGAGAGACTCTTTTGGGAATAAGATTTAATTTACATGGCCTAATTTTGGTGCATGTTGTCGATAGGTGTTAGGTTGTTGCCAATAAAAATATCTGAGGCTAGAAACTGGAAGTCCAGAATTAGCCACTAGGCAGGGCTTCTACTTTGGCCAATTATTATGGGCCTTTTACCTCACTTGTTGGTTCAGTTGATGACAGGCAAGCCAGCAGTGTCTTTGGGCTTCATGGTTTGTGTTAGCTAAAGTTGATGACACATAGGCTTCAGTATTTGCTATGTTTGGTTAAAACAACATCTTCCATGGAGTTTGGGCATCTAGATTGCAAACCAATAAAATCACCCATAATAATAATAAAGCCAACAGTCAACACACTTGTGTGCAGGTTGACTTGACTGGCTTTTGTTGTCTGATATTAATTTTATCCAGCATGCATTATTACCAGGAGGAATTTTTGGGTTTTATTATGGCACACAGTACTGATTCCATTATTATCTCTGAATATGATATTCATTTACTAAGTATTGTTTTTTGTTTGTTTGTATTATTCTCTCTTCTGGGTAGTCTACATGGCTTGTAGGAATGGTCCTAGGGAACTAATTTTAATTTCCTGAAGGAGAGCTAGATGAGTGATCCAACCCTTATGATCTAAATATTGAAGGATTTTGAGTGGTAGAAGTTGAAGTTCAAATGGGTCTCATTTTAAATGGACAGGTTCCTGGCCTATTGGACAATCTATGGTTAACAGGTCTCAAGAGAATATTCACAGTTACTCTGGCCTTTAGCCCTAAAGAAGAGAGGCATGATTGAAAATCTGTTAACAATAAATGAGGAGACATTATTAAAGGGCCTCATACATATTGAGTTTTCATATACATAGAGTTGAGACATAACCAACTTTAAACACAGAAAAGGAAGATGGTTAAGTGTTTAGTTTTTGCTTTTGTTTTTTAAATTGGTATGAGGTGTGAATAGTCAAGGTACCTTGAATTAAAAGAAATTAAAGCCTGTGGCAAAATAGAGACCTATTGATGGGTCTATCTGCTGGACTAAGGTTGAAAAGGAATTGTTTAAGGAGACTACTACAGTTTTAATTAAACCATCTGCCTACAAGTTGTATTGAATGTCTTTTTCTAAAGCCCAACACTGTGTATTTTGAGACTTGAAAGGTGTACCATGGTTATACTAAGGATAAGGAGGGTAAGGCATCTCTTGCTGAGGCTCTGTATTGTGACCTTAGTATACGTAGAAAAAAATGGGACCTTAATTTGTATTTTAGGTATCTATGAGGCAAGAAATCTATAGAATTCTTTATCCTGGAAAGGCAGGGATAAAAGGAATAAGTCTTAGACAGTAGACCATGATTTTGTAAAAAAAAAAAAAAAAAAAAAAAAGTGCAAATTAGGCCATTTATCGGCCAGGGCATCCAGTGATAAGAAAGCTAATTGTGCTGACCCTTTGGCCTGTCCTTTATCTGTGAAATCCTAGTTAAGGAATAGAGAAAGAAGCAACATTCTCCTGACCACTACCACTTATAATGGCAGCAATGTCATCTATACAGTCTATGAACTTTCATTGTTATTCACTAATTTATTCAGAAGGTGCTCCTCAGGTAGCCAAGGGCTCTAGAAAAGGGGTCATCTCTGTCATGCGGGTCCGTGTGAAGAGACCACCAAACAGGCTTTGTGTGACCAATAAAGCTTTTTAATCACCCGGCTGCAGGAGGGTTGAGTCCGAAAAGAGAGTCAGCGAAGGGAGATAGGGGTGTGGCAGTTTTATAGGATTTGGGTGGGTAGTGGAAAATTACAGTCAAAAGGGGTTTTTCTCTTGCGGGCAGGGGGCAGGGGTTGTTACAAGGTGCTTGGTGGGGGAGCTTCTGAGACTTATTGTCCAGGAGAAGGAATTTCACAAATTTAATTGATCAGCTAAGGTGGGGCAGGAACAAATCACAATGGTGGAATGTCATCAGTTAAGGCAGGAACCGGCCATTTTCACTTCTTTTGTGATTCTTCAGTTGCTTCAGGCCATCTGGATATATACGTGCAGGCTTGGGCTCAGAGGCCTGATAATCTCCTCTATCCTCTAATATTGTGGCATCTGTCAAGGAAGTGAAAAAGGGGAGTCACCCACCCTTGCATGTTGAATATGCCAGTGGGCCCAGGTTTGGGTCAAACCTGTGTGTGGGGAGCCTCAGTAGCTGTGCAGAACTTGTAGGGAGCTGCTTTCATCACCTGAGCATAATAGGAAGCTGAGTATGTACAGTCACAAGCTAAGGGGCTGTAAGGGGCTTTATATCCAGGATAACTTAATATGTGCCCAGAAACTTTATTCTAATGGTATATAATATGGGACTGAGAAGGATATTTTTATAACAGAACCTCATGGGCAACTCTTGGCCATCATAGTTGGTCCAGAGCCTCCAGGAAGCATTGTAACCAAACAAAAGGTTAGTTGCTCACCACATGCAGAGTCTGATTAATTAGAGTTAGGTCTGACACAAAGAAATTGATTGATTCTGGAGCTAGCTTAGGGAAAGAGGCACATGTGTCTTACCTTACAGCTTCACTTTTGGAGCAGAAAGCAGGCAAGGGAGCACTTTGGAAAGCCAAACAGGTTGATCACTTGAGGTCAGGAGTTCGAGACCAGCCTGGCCAACATGGTGAAACCCTGTCTCTACTAAAAATACAAAAATTAGCTGGGCATGGTGGCATACACCTGCAGGGCCAGCTACTCGGGTGGTTGAGGCAGGAGAATCTCTTGAACCCAGGAGGCACAGGTTGCAGTGAGCTGAGATCACACCACTGCACTCAAGCTTAGGCAACAGAGACTCCATCTCAAAAACAAAACAAAACAAAACAAAACAAAACACAAGGCAAGGGAGGAAATGAGCAAAATGGTGCAGGGGAAGGGAGCAGAGGGTGCATGCTAGCTCTGATGCTGTATCTACTGTCTGATCCAGCTGCAGACTTCTGGTGCCTTTCTGGGCAAGCTGTTATCTCTGAAGGCAACCCCCTGGAGGGTGAAAGTTATGTAGCAGCATGCTTTGGCTTGTAAATCAACTGTTAACTCTGTTTGGTCTTGGAGCACATAGTTGAATTTGCACTGTAGGGATAGTCTGTTGGAAGGGCGGTCAAAGGCTGTATTTGCATTTCTAAAGACTATGTAGGAAGTGGGAAACCAGAGGAAAAGAAAGTAAAAAAGAAGAGAAATTATTATTTAAAAACAAACAAACAAAAAAAAAACACTATTTCTTAGAAAAATGGGGGTACTCAGTTACAGCATGAGAGGAAGTAGTTAGAGCCTGTACAGTGAAGGAGTCTCTAAGGGCACTAACAAAAGTACCTATTGATTTTAATTTGGACATATTCTAGAGCTGTTTTTGGAGGGGGCTCTAGTTAAGGTGTACTGATTAGTAACTTAGTAGCATCAGTGAGATGAAGTAAAATTTGTATGAGTACTAAGTTGCCTCCAGTACCAAAATAGGGCTAAAAGATGTTGAATTTGTTTGTCCTTAATAAGCGTGTCAAACGAATCTCCTCAGAGGAGAATGTCTTCAATGTAATATCATACCTATGTTCCTGGAGAAATGGGATACAGTTAAGATAGTGTGTCTGCAAAGATAGTGTGTGATGGCAAAGCAGTTGAAGTCCCTCCTGGATAATCTAGCAAAATTTGTCACATCTCTTTGGAGATGAAGGAAAACTGGCTGAGAGGCTGCTGAAAAGGCACTTAATAGAACACATTAGCTAAATCTAAAATGGCAAATATTTACCAGTTGCTGATTGAATGAAATTAGTAATTTTAATGATGTTGGGCATTGGGCATGAGGGCTTAATAGATGGCACCATGGCTTTAAGATTGCATTAATCCATGATGAGATGCAATTTATTCATTTCAGGTTTCACAACAGGCAAAATTGGGCTGTCAAATGGAGTAGTAGTGAGAATAATCACCCGTTTATTATGTCTAATATAACACATTTTAATCCTTGAAGTACTTCCCTGTTTTAACTTATATCTTGCCATTTTAACTATTTTAATTGGGAGCTCACAGAGTCCCATTTTATCAAGACAATTTGTAAGTACCAAAGGCAATTTAATTTTAATTTATTACTTGTATCAGAGTATGCCTATTATGTGATATTTTGGGGGCAAAAGGTAATATGATTATGGTAAATTTGGGAAAGACTACAGGTAATGCGAGGCATAGCTCCTTTTTTCTATCTAATATTTAGTTATTCTCCTAAGTTATAGTGGGTGCCATGTTTAAATTTAGTAAGATCCACAGCTATCACTGTAATTAGAGTCCCAGTATTAAGTCTGTGAAATTTGTCAATTAATGTATTTCAGCAAATTCTGAACTTAATTCAGAGCCTTGTTATAGAGTCACAAAAATCCAGTCAGCACCCTTTTAATCTTTTTGCTATATAAATTATTTTAATCAGTTTTAGATTTTAATTGGGTTAAATTATGGACCTTTGTTTTAAAGTCCCGCTAACAGACACACGAATACACACACACATACACACTATTTATTTTTGCTTTCTCCTATATATTGGTCTTGTCTTCCCTGCCTCCTTTCCTTTCTTCCTTCCTCCCTTCCTTCCTTTCTGCCTTCCTGCCTTCCTTTACTTATGACTCATAGTGTTGACCTTCTCGGCTGTTACAAAGAAAGGATTCTGGGTTCTCCAGGGACCTGCCTTATAGGCTACTATTTCGCACTTCTAAGATTTCTCTGTTTACCTCTGAGGTTTTACAGTTAGAGTTAGCAGCTCTTCTCAGGACAGTACAGGTAGCCCCACTGTCTGGAGTATTAATCTCTTTGTATGATGATGTTATAGAAGTTATTAAGAAATTATTTTAGGCAGATAGAGAGGAAAAGGGTTCCTTGGAAAGTTTTTGTTTCTTTTAAAGGAGCTCCAGAAACATTTCTTCTCTAGCAGGAAAGCCCTGGCTCTTAGAGCCGGGAGTTCAAGCTTTGACGTGCAAATGCAAGCCATTAGAAACTGGATCCACTCAAACATGGTGATTCCTGCCTTCTTCTTGCCCTTGCCCCCACATGTCCTGTATATGGCCGCCCCCACATATCCCCACCTGTATAGACCAACATGGTGCCCTGCATTTGCATATTAAAAGGCTAGGGTGGGAGGGCCAGTTTTTTTGTGGGCTATGTGAATGACATGCCTGGTCAAACAAATCCCCTGAGCACTATGCAAATCAAACACCACCTCCTTCAGCCTCCTCTTCTCCTCAAATAAGCAACCACTTTTCCGCCACACACAGGGTTTTCTCTTTGCTTAAATCCCAACACGCACCTCCCCTCCCAACACTCCCCCCACTACAACCCCCCACCCCCGTCTCTGTACCAGGGAGCTGTTTTCTTTTTCCTTCCTTCTTTCTTGCCTATTAAACTCTCCACTCCTTAAAACCACGCCACGTGTGTCCGTGTTATTTTATCCAATTTGGCATGAGACTGAGGACCCTGGTGTTCCTCTACTCATTGGAGCTGAATCAAAGATATGTGGTAGTACTCTCTAAGGCTCAAGCACACTGGCTAGAGATCTTGAATTATCTAAGCATTTGCTTAACTTAGTAAGTTGTTGAGGGGAGGGCTGTAGGGCATAGGTGCTTTGCAGGATGGGACGAGACATTCATCCCTGTGCAGAAGTTCTATTGGATTAAACTTTGAGTTACTGGCTTCCAAGAGTGCAACCCAAGATATCTTTGAAGGTGTAAGGAGTATGAAGTTTTCTAGTGATGGTTGTAAGATTTGCCGTCAGAGAAGATGGGTAATAACACCGCCTTTATATGAGCAATGCAAAATCATATGTCAGGAAGTCATTATCTCTCTCAATTTTAGAGTCATACTTGTGTCTCCATGATGCATAACCACCAGAGACAAACTGGAGATAAACATTTTACACTTTAAAATAAAACAAAGTCATATGGCAGACACAAAAACACAGAAGTCTTCATCCTAGGGGATATGGCTCAGGCTCTGGCTTCTATTTCTTAAGAGGTTGCTCACACCTTGGACCTTCTACTCTCAGAAAATCATTCGATCAAACTATGCCATATGTATTATTATTACTGTGGGATTTATGTTACCAAACCATTTGGGTAAGGTTAAGATAAGGAAATATCAGCAAACACAACAGCAAGCATAATGTGCTAAGTATAATTTTGCCAACAAGCAGTGGTTCTATCCTATGTTGCACCAGAAGATGTTTGAAGCCAATTAATAAGTCATGAGCAATTCCCCAAAGAAGTTATTCAGTAATCAATAGGGATGGCACAGCCATCCTACTCTCAGCACCAATTGTTGTATGTGATATAAAGATTTTTTTGGTTAAAAAAAGCTTTTTTTTTTTTTTCCTGACGCTCAGGAAGATGAAAGGCAAAACTCATAGTTGCTTGCAGCTCCAAGTGTAACTTTAGCAGGTAGCTTATGTATGGCAAATTGGGTGGGATTAGCTAGGTTTCACAGGCTCCTTGTCGACTGGCTAATTGGAATAATTTTGGTGGACTCTCAGGCATTGGGGCTATCCCTCATTCTTTAGTCCCTGGCACTGGGGCAATGAGGATGGGTGCATAGTCACCCTTGAATATGAGATACAAATAAGGGACACTGCTGGGGTATGGATTTTACCAGATCCTCAAAAAGGTGAACTGCCAGGCTTGTAAACTGGGACAAGAAAGCATCATTAGAAAAAAAAAAGCAAACTATATTCCAGGTTATATAACATAAAGAAATGCAATATACTTAGCAATACCAGCACAATGTACATAGATGAAAGAAAAGCTATATGGGCTGAGGAAATAACTTTGAATGCTAATTCCTATCCACAAGAACAATGCAGAGAAATAATAAATAAAAAGTCTGACATAACAAATACTGTGTATATATGTGTTTGTGTACTTGTGCACACACGTAGTATTTAAGATGGATATATAAGTCTTATAGCAATAATTTATAAAATAACTAAAAATATAGTGAAAATAACTAAACTATAATATGTTATATTAGAAAAAAGTTATTACACACACAAAAAAGCAGCAAGAGGCTTTAGAGAGAAGAATGCTATGAGACAGAAAACAAAAGTTAGAATGGCAGACATAATTTAATTGTATAAATACAATCTAAATGTGAATAGATCAAACAATCTAATCATTGAAAAATTGTTGGACTGAATGCAAAACAAAAATAAAAAACAGAATCAAACTATATTCTGCTGGCAGGAGAAACTTTAGATTTAAAAATACAAATGGATTGAGAATAAAGGAATAAAAAAGGATATATTATGTGACTACTTAAGAAGGCTGAAATGTATATATAATACTATCATCGGACACAATAGTCTTTTGTTATGGACTGAATCTCTGCATCCCCCTCAAATTAATATGTTGAAATCTTAATCTCCCTATCTTCATTTTAGGAGGTGGTCCCTTTGGGAGCTGATTAGGACCTGAGGTTAGAGTACTCATGAGTGGGATTGTAAGAGTGTCCCTCTTTCTACTTTCCAAGAGTGTGCAAGGTATTTTCAAAGAGGTGGTAAGCAGTTGAGGCTTGTTGGTTTCACCTGTGAGGTTACTTTTGGTAAAGTTTAAAGGCCAGAAATATTGGCCACTTGGTATGACAATAGTCGGGTAATAAGAGATTTAAAATAATTTTTTTTAAAGAGCACTATGGTTAAATGTCAGCTTAACTAAAAGCAGATATTCAAGCTCTAACAGCTTGGGACTCCTTGGGAAAAACAGAGGAGGCACCACAGACCCTGTTTTGAGAAAAACATCTGTTTTCCTCAGGAAACCCTAGAACTGGGATTTGGGTAGATCCCTCTCAAAATCCAAGGCTAAATATACTTTTAGGGATGGCAAATGGCAGTTATAGGGGGATACTCAGCTCTTTGCACATTTGGACTAAAAAAACTTACAGATGCTCTTAGTCATCTGTAAGGTATGGCAATGTCACCACCCACCACTGAGAGATGAGATTCCCATGGAAGATGGGCTAATTACAAAACAGACTGATTGGCTTTGGGTTGCCTTGCATAAAATGCAGTAAAAGCATTTCTCTGTCTTCTCCCTTAACATTTCCCCCTTTTTTTGGAATCTAAGATCAGATATTAAAATGGGACTCATAATTTTGGAGACCTGTTTTTGCCTTCTAGCTGTGCCTGCTTATCAGTCCCTAGAAACTACATGTTTTCCTACCCCTGTTCCTCCAAGGACTCCACCCTAAAGCCCATAATCCAATTAAGAAACTTAAAAACTGGCAAATGAAAAATCCTACAAATTCTACAACTACTGGATCTTCTTCTGTCCATCTGTATAGTTATATATGTGTTAGTGTATGATGTTTATATAAAAAGCTCTAATTATTTGGTTTTAAAAAATAAGCACTTAGAATATTTTGAAAAAAAGCTATAATGCCTTTTAGTTCACGTGACTTCAGTAATCTTTGGGAAACAAAGAGTTTTAAGATTATTGGCAAAATAAAGACATTGGTCTAAATTAGGCAGGTCAGATGTTACATTTGCTAAATGCTTTAAGGTTATAAACTTTCTTTGGCTTTTGAAAATTGTTAAACTTGCCTGGTTTACAGCTAGGTAAGGCCTAGCTGTATGTGGAGTTAGCCACACTCCTAACTATGCTGGATAGAGTTGGACCTTATCTATCTGCACTTCTGTTGGGTGCCCTAGGGTCCACAACTAGTACATAATTAAAATAACTTATCAGATCTTTCACCAAAATTTAAAATTGCTAAGAGTTACCATCATCACATGTAATTGAAACTACTGAAAAAAGAACAGTTTTACATGCAAGGTGTGTAAGAAAATAAAATATGATTTTAGTAAAATATTATAAGAAGGCATTATAAAATATTATAAAGTAGGCATTTGCCTAGTTTAGTGGGTTAAAGACTGTTTAAAATTAGGTAAGATAAAGCTAAATGTTTAAACAAATTGTGGAAGGTTTGTAAAATATTAATCATGTAAAAGAAATTTTGCATGTGAAGATATTGACTAAATTTTAGGGCATATTACTCAGTTTTTCCATGAATTGAACATTGAAATAAAAGCACAACAGGATTTTCTTAAAGCACTCATCTGCTTCCTAAGAAAATTTGTAAAGGGTTATAAAAGGGTTATGAGAATCTCACCTTATGGTAAAACTGATTAAGATTTAATCAAGTTGTTTATAAAGTTTTATTAGAATTGGGGTTGACATTAATAATACACTAATGCAAAGGTGAAGATTGGCTTTCTCTCTTGGACAAGATGTTCATGTAATATTAAAGAATAATAAAAGATTTTTGTTTACTTTTTGAATAAACTACAGCAGAAAAGGGAGAAATATAAGAGACGATTTTTGGAAAGCTAAGTTTTCCCTCTATCAATGAGTAAAGGTTTTTTCCTTTTTAAAAATTTTTGAGTCATCATTTTGGCTAAGTGAATGACTTATGATGACCTGGAATTCTATTTCATAATATTAAGTGTTTTACACCCTTATCATATTTGATAGGCTTCCAAAAATCAAATTTTAGCTTTAAAATAATATTTTCTAACCTTTAAATTTGGGATGTTACAGAGGGATGCTAAAGCATCCAAAAGAGAGGTAAACAGAATTATTTGGCATGTTTTGTTACATGGGAACCATTGTCAAAATAAAAGATAATGTTTAAACTTCTTCAGGTTGTATTTTAGTGAATAATATTAATACATGTTCCAAAATTGTATGGGATTAATAAAATTCTAATATGTCTAAGTATATGCCATTAATTATAATTATGGTTATTATGTTGTTATTATTGGTCAAATAAATAACCAAATTTCCTTGTCAATTATGTCTTTAACTACAAAATTTTAAAGTCATTTCTACAGTTAATTGCTTAATGCTGATGCAGTTTCTGAAAACTTCACAATCGCATAAAATCCTAGAATATGGTGTCTCTTAGGAGGTTCATGAAAGGATGAAAAGGACTCTGAAAAGCACTTTTGAATACAGGTGGTCCGATAACTTTAGAATCATATCATTTGAACTGGATAAGAATTCCTGGAACTTTGATGAAAAGACTGACTGTGTTATAAAACTGCTAACCCAAGTAGAACAAAATGAATTGAATACCAAGAAAACACTTTGCCAAATTTTTATACTAAATCAGCCAATCCTTAAATTGTTTAGATATACAATTTGAATAAACTCCATAGTTTAAGTCAAATTACTTATGATAACCCATCAGTTATGAGTGCTATGTACCTAAGTTAGAAAAATGTCGAGTATTCAAGAGGGCATAAGTCCAATGTTAAACATGGACTTATGGAGAACTAGGATACTGCCTTGTCCTTCCTGAGTCCTTAAAGCTTTTGTTATGAAAGGTTCTTCATCCCATGACTCATCATAGAAAAGATAAAACAATCCAAATCAAATATATATTGGTGTGGTGACTTATAAGTTGCTAAAATAGTTAATGACCAAAGTTTGGTTTATCAAACCCATATTTTTGAGAAAATAATCAAAACTTCAGGTATATTTTGCTACCTGATGCTCCATTAAAACATTTACAGAGGAATTTCATTCAATTGTCACTTCCAGTGCATTTTTTCTGGTTGTATAAAAGCTTTCCCATGCAAGAGGGCTAATGTTATTGTTATGGGATCCTTCGGGATGTTGCTTTCCTGGCTGGAAACCTCTGTGGCTGGTGGTGCCTTTGCCCGAGTTTGCTTGGGCCTACTGGGTCTGCTCAGCTCCCACTACTAGCCTGGATTCCATGCTTCCAAAGAGACTGGAGTGGAGTGGCGAGGGGTGTGTGAGCCAGTGAGTATGGGATCTGCTAACTGCACACGGTTAGGCACACCAGCTGCTGTAGCTGGGACAGGCAGCTCCAGGTGCCAGCATGGGTACTAGGTCACTATAAGGCTTTGGCTGGACCAGACACACCACAAATAGCTTCCACGGCTGGTACAAGGGAACACAGTTGTGCCTGGAAGCGTGCAGACTCCAGGAACCATAGGGTCCCATAGCGGGAGTCACAGCTCTGATCTGGGGAGCTCCCAGGTCTGGGTTCCCATAGAATCACAGCTCTTTTTCTCTTCTCTCTTCTTGTCACCCACAACATGGTGAGCAAGGGGCATGTTTCAGCCCTGTTTGTGTTACAGCATTTTTAGCCCTGCCATTTGGCATGTCCCAAGTTCTTGTCCTGCCTCCAGGAAGAATGAGGTATACAGACAAGTGGAGGGTGAGCAAAGAGGAGCTATATTGAGTGACAGAATAACTCAGAGGGTGTCCTGGAGTGGGCACCTCCATTCTGCAGCTGGGCATCCCGACATCTGCATCTCTCAGAAGTGATGAGGCCCTGGAGTTGGTAGCTGCTCTCTGCAGTTGGTCGTCCCAATGTCTGCTCAGTTCTGGCTGAGCCTGGGGCTTTTATGGGTCTCAGAAGGAGGGAAATGCACACTGATTGGTCCATGAGAGGCCATTGGTGGCCCCAGAAAAGGCATCACGAGTTTACACTCTGGTCCTTGGGACTGGCAGCCCAGACCCCAGCCTTCACACCCTCCCTGGCCTGAAGGTAGGGCCTCACCAAGGACCCCCCCGCCCCTTTGGGGTGGGAACCTGTCTGCCTCCTGCTGCCATTCATGGCACCCAGGCTATTTGTGCCAAGGGATGCCTGCAGGCCAGTGCCAAGCTGCCCTCAGCAGTTCCTCAGCTTCCCTCCCATGCTCATCAGTGCCCAAAGCCTGGGCAGGTGCCAGAGGCAGCATGGTACTGGTGTGTCAGCACTGCCCCAAGCATGTGCACACCCACCAGGCTGCAACAGCACCTGCAACAGCACCTGGGCCTACCCACAACCTTGCTCCAAGGCCAGAGCAGGTGTCAAGAGTGGGGAGGAGCCAGGAAGTGAGAGCAGAAGATACCTCCAAGCCTGCAAGGTCCTAGGGGTTTTTCCTTTGCCCCCAAGAGTGTAGAGATGTCTGACTCTGAAGCCATGGCTTGAGCATTTGTAGCTGCACCTTGAAGGACAGGTCTCCTGCCTGCTCCATGGCGTGGGAGGCCCAGGTCTGGAACCACTACTTGGGCTGCTGCAGCTGATCCCAGGAAGCTCCAACTCCACCAACTCAGAAGAGGCATGGTTCCCACTTGTCCCCAGCTCCTGGCCATGTTTCTCTGCTGTAGCTGATGTGATGGCAGTGGTTGCTCCAGATGGGGTGCTGCTGCCATCATTATAACAGTAGATTATTACACTACAGTATATTTTTACCAGGTAAAGTAAGGTTTTTATGTTTCACTGAGGACAATCAATCCCTTCACAACTAGAACCTGAAGATGGATCTTCTGAGAACATCAAAGAAACACTGTCATTGGCATCTACACCACAGCAAAACTTCAGGACCTTGAACCTTGGGTTCACAGTCTCACAACTGAGAAGGCTCCCTTTACATTCTTGGAACTGTACACCCATTGGAACCCTTAAGGTAAAGCTAACCAGGGGGTTTTCTCACCAGAAGAAGATGGTATCCTTGATGTGAAGAGGTTTTCCCAAGATCATGGATCAAGACTTCTCTGCTATCATGGGACTCTTAACTTTGATTATTTTTCCCTTGCTTATGCTTCTATGAACAATAGAATTGAAAGGGGTTCTCTTGTGTGCACTTATGTGGTATAATTTTATTTGTGAAGGATTTTGCAGCCAGCCTTATACATAGATAACCTCATACCTTAATAGACAAAAATGAAGGCCCAATGTAGATAAGAAACGTTAATGGTACATACATTGCCATTGCCTCATAATCAGTCAGAAACAGAACAATGGTTCACTCCTCTTAACTCACATCATGGGTTAAGGAGAACATTGCTGGGAGGTTTTCACTCTTCTAAAAGGTCATCATTTTTTAGGTCCTTTTTTTGTGGTTTGGAATAAAGTGGCAATGATTAAAAATGTACCCCTCATGATAGGTTCTATAGCAGATTCTACCGTATAGGCCATGGTTACACAACAGACTTTAAATTCTCTTGTGAAAGTTATGCTAGATAATAGAATTGCTCTGGATTAGTTAATGGCTAAACAGAAGTATCTGTACAGCTGCTGGCACTTACAGCCTATGGAGAAAATGTCAGGTATTACAGAGATTCAGTTATAGGGGATTAATGAAGAGACCCCTTAGTCAAGTTAGTAGACTATGTAGCTCATTCTTTGATCTATTCAATTTTAGGTGATTTTGTTTACGGAGACCCCGGGTAAGGAGCATACTCCAAACTCTTGGTATTATCCTCCTGATAGTCATAATAATAGTCCCCCTGGTGATCCGTATTCTCTCAAAAATTTTAAATGTTTGCATGCAGCCATCTCTAGAATATCAAAGGATCTCTCTAACTAGAATGACAAGAGCTGAAAGAAATGGGCAGCCGTGAAGACACTGTAACTTATGAATGACATGCTGAGACCAGAAACCCAAAATGATGGTAACTGAGAGTGGTGCTAAGGCCCTAAGTTTTGGTCACACCCTCACCTAAGTGAGAACCTGACCAAAAAAAGAGGATTTTTTTTTTTTAAACAAAATTATGGGAGGCCATTGTTTTGGACTGAGCTCATGCTCTAAGTCCCAACATACCAAACCAAACAAAAATGGAGTCACTTGTGCTAAAAGTAACATAATCAAACTGTGTTTGATTATAGAAAACATAGGAAACACATAGATTCTAGAAAAGACCCGGCTTTTTCTTCTGTAAACAGGATGTTCCAGCATAAAGATATACCCTCTACTCAGTCCTTGTTCCTAAATTTGCCAAACTCAGTGTTCTGCTCTTTCCCAGTGAGTTTCAAGAGCAATGTTAATAGTAACATCAATAACTAAAGTTTTGGTCAATCTCTCAAAATTGAGAAAATAACCCAAAGGGGGAAATTGTTAAATCAAGTTTAGCCTAAAGATGCCTCCTTACATATATAAGTTTGACCTAAAGGTTCTTCTGTACATCGTGAACTATAAAAAGTGGAGGTGTAAATCAACTGCAGCCCGCACCTGTGCCAATTACTGAGTTTTGGCCAAATGTAGCTAACTGTTCCAACCATGTTCAAATAAGGCAAAGGCCTAGTTGTAACCAATCCAGTTGTTTCTGTACCTCCCTTTCCTTTTGCTGTCCATAAATCTTCTTCCACCACTTGACTGAGCTAGAGTCTCTGAATTTGTTGTAATTCTGGGGGCTGCCTGATTTTCCAATCATTCATTACTCAAACTACTTTAAATTTAATTCAGTTGGAATTTTTCTCTTAACAACAATCATAGAATCAATGTAACAATCTGTCTTCAAAAGTAGGAAAGTGTGTTACTTCTATAGGAGAAATCAAGACATCTGTAATGCTAAGCCAGAACTGTCACTGCCAACAGGAAGTATATTTAATTCAGCCTATACTTGGCTTAAAAAAATATATATATATATGTAAAGGAAGAGCAGAATGAAAAACACATTTTAACTAGCTTCTGCACTTACTCCTTTATCACATTTTTTACTTAGCTCAGATTTAGAACAAGGAATAGTTCATGAGCTCAAATGTTCTCCCAAGTTCAGTTAATAACACCAGCTTGAGGTTGCTGATACCCACTTAATAAAATGTGATAATATTTAATAAAACTAATATTGTTAATAATTACCTCATACACCCTCCACTCTTTCCCTTTTTCACAATAAGCAAATCTCCTCTCTTTATAAGGCTCAGATTGGAGGGTTTATGCCATATTTATTTTAATACACTGACTTTATGACGATATCCTGAGAGTTCTAGAATTTTTTACATCAGCATTTTTCAGATTGATTTATCATGAATGTTATTCTCTGTCCTTTTTTTTTTATCATTTGTAACTGTTTATTAGGACTTGTTATGTACCATTTTGCTAATAACTTTATAAGCAGTATTCCATGTAATCTTTAAAATACTCTATGAGGACTTTTTGTTATTTATTCTCTTTTACAGGCAAGGGAATCTAAATCTCAGGGAAGTTCATTAGCTGTTCCAATGTTACAGAGGAGAAAGTTGATGGAACTGGGATTTTAGTTCCATCCAGGCGATCTGACATCAGCTCTCACATTTAATCTCATCCCAACTTTGTCTCCATTTCTTTTCAGCTGATAGTGATTTCATTTGTATGATTGATTTTGCCTGACTGAGCCAAACTATATTAGCACATTAGATTAGAATAACTTAATCACTTTACTTGAAGAAAAAAAACCAAATCAATTAAACAACTGCATTGATGAGACAGAGGAGCTGTTTTAGGCATAATGTAGTCTAGCAGGTTTTTAAGTGTGATCAACAGACCAACAGCATCCACATTATACATACACTTATTAGAAATGCAAATTCTTGGATACCAAGGAAACAGCAATCTGTGTTTTAACACATTTTTTAAGTGAATTTTAAATTCTAAAATATATTAACCACTGCCACAATCAAGGGGTCAGCAAATTAGTGAACATGAGTCAAGCTTAGGCACCTCCTATTTGTTTGCTTTTTAAATTTTAATATGATATAAATACATCATTTAAAAAATTTTTAAGTGGATAACTCTGTAGTAGTAATTACATGCAAAATGTATAACCATCAGAACTATTTCTAAAATTAGTTCATCACTCCAAACAAAAACTATACTCATAAAACAATAGCACCTATTTAACTCTCGCCTCACTCCCTACTAATCACTAATAAATTTCTGTCTCTATGAATTTGTCCATTCTAGATATTTCATATATTTGGAATCATACAATATTTGTCCTTTTGAGTCTGGCTTATTTCACTTAGAAAATGTTTTCGAGGTTCATCCTGCTGTAGCCTGTATCAAAACTCATTCCTTTTTATGGTTGAAAAATAATCCTTTGTATTTATGTACGACATTTTGTTCATCTATTAATCGATTAAGGATTCATCTGTTAGAGCTTTTCTATGTTTTGACTATTGTAAAAAAATGCTGTGGTAAACACTGGAGTACAAGTATCTGTTTGAATCACTCTTGAATTGTTTTGGGTATGTATCCAGAAGTGGAATTATTCTATTTCAGCCTTTTGAGGAACCTCCAAATTGATTTCCACAGTAAGTGCACAATTTGATATTCCCATCACCAATGTAAGTGTCTTTAACTTTATCCACATCCTGGCCAACCCTTGCTCCTCCCCCTGTCCTCTTTCTCTCTGTTTTTTTTTTTTTTTTTTCATTACAGTCATCCTAATAGTTGCAAAGAAGGCTGGGCTTGATGGCTCATACCCGTGCTACCAGCACTTTGGGAGGCTGGGATGCTGGATCACCTGAGGTCAGAAGTTCGAGACCAGCCAGGCCAACAGGATGAAACCCCATCTCTACTAAAAATACAAAAAAAAAAAAAAAAAAAAAAAGCCAGGTGCAGTGTTGTGTGCCTGTAGTCCCAGCTGCTTGGGAGGCTGAGGCAGGAGAATTGTTTGAACCCAGGAGGAGGAGGCTGCAGTAAGCCGATATCATGCCATTGCACTCCAGCCTGGGTGACAGAGTGAGACTCTATCTCAAAAACAAAACAAAAAAAAAATTGTGTAGTAGTGAAATAGTATCTCACTGTGGTTTTGATTTGTATTTCTTGAATGACTAATGATGTTAACTATCTTTTTATGTACTTCTTGGCTATTTGTACATTTTCTTTGAAAATGTCTATACCAGTTATTTGCCCATTTTAAAAACAGGTTTTTTAGTTTAATTAATTCCTAGCAATTTATCTTTACATTGCATTTGCTTTTAGGTTCTTGGTCATGAAATCCTTGCCTAAGCCAATGTCTAGAAGGGTTTTTCCAATGTTGTCTTCTAGAATTTTTACAGTTTCAGGTCTTAGATTTAAGATTTTAATCCATCTTGAGTTGATTTTTGTATAAGGTGAGAGAGGAGGATCCAGTTTCATTCTTCTACATGTGGCTAGCCAATTATCCCAGCACTATTTGTTAAAAAGGGTGTCCTTTCCCCACTTTAGGTTTTTGTGTACTTTGTTGAAGAATAGTTGGCTGTAAGTATTTTGGCTTATTTCTTGGTTCTCTATTCTGTTCCATTGGTTTATGTGCCTATTTTTATACCAGAGCTTTTGCACTGCAAAAGGAACAGTAAGCAGAGTAAACAGACAGTCCACAGAGTGGGAAAAAAATATTCACAATCTATACATCTGAGAAAGGACTAATATCCAGAATCTACAATGAACTCAAACAAATCAACAAGAAAAAAACAAACAATCCCATCAAAAGGTGGACTAAAGATATGAATAGAGAATTCTCAAAAGAAGATCCCCAAATGGCCAACAAACATATTTTTTCAACATCACTAATGATCAGGGAAATGCAAATCAAAACCACAATGCGATACCACCTTACTCCTGCAAGAATGGCCATAATCAAAAAAAAAAAAAAAAAAAAAAAAAAAAAAAAAAAAAAAAGCAAATATTGGCATGGCTGTGGTGAAAAGGGAACACTTCTACACTGCTGGTGGGAATGTAAACTAGTACAATCACTATGGATAACAGTGTGGAGATTTCTTAAAGAACTAAAAGTAGGACCACTATTTGATCCAGCAATCTCACTACTGGGTATGTACCCAGAGGAAAAGAAGTCATTATACAAAAAAATACTTGCACACGCATGTTTATAGCAGCACAATTTGCAATGCAAAAACGTGGAACCAACCCAAATGCCCATCAATCAATGAATGGATTAAGAAACTGTGATATATGTTTTATATATATACACACAGTGGAATACTTCTCAGCCATAAAAAGGAATGAATTCATGGTATTCACAGCAACCTGGATGAGATTGGTGACTATTATTCTGAGTGAAGTAACTCAGGAATGGAAAACCAAAGATCATATGTTTTCATTCATAAGTAGAAGCTAAACTATGAGGATACAAAGGCATAAGAACAACACAGTGGACGTTGGGGATTCAAGGAAAGGGTTGGGGGCGGGTGAGGAATAAAAGACTATAAATAGCATGCAGTGTACACTGTCTGGGTGATGGGTGCACCAAAATTTCACACATCACCACTAAAGAACTTACTCATGTAACCAAATACCACCTGCTCCCCAATAAACTTTGGAAATTAAAAAATAGTCTCTTTGTCTTCTGTTGCTGAGTTATAAAGTTTCTTTATATATTTTGGATATTAAATCCTTATGAGATATATGATTCACAAATATTTTCTTCCATTCCATAGGCTTTCACTTTCTTCATAATGTCCTTTGATGAACCAATGTTTTTAATTTTAATAAAGTTCAACTTATCTATTTGTTTTTTGTTGTGGTGGTGTTTATGGTGTCATATTTAAGAATCCATTGCCAAATCCCAGTTCATAAAGATTTATCTCTAAGAGTATCATGGTTTTGGCTCTCATATTTGAGTTATTGATTCTTTTTGAATTAATTTTTGTATATAAGTAAATTTTTTATATGTGGTGTGAATTAATTTTTGTATATGGGATGAAGTCTAACCTTAATTTGCATGTAGAAATCCAGTTGTTCTAACATCATTTGTTGAAGATTTTTCATTGTCCATTGAATAGACTTGGCAGGCTTGTTGAAAATAAATTTGCCGTAAATATATAGGTTTATTTCTGGACTCAATTCTATTCCATTTATCTATATATCTATCCCTATGCCAATTCCATAATGTTTTAATTACTATAGCTTTTTGGTAAATTTTGAAATGGCAGCGTGTGAATCCACCAACTTTGTCTTTTTTTCTTTAGGATTTCCATGTAAAATTCTAGGAATTTGAGAATTGGCATTTCTGTTTCAGTAAAATGACTGTTGGAATTTTGCTAAATATTGTATTGAAACTTTAGATAGCTTTGGTAGTTCTGCTATTTCAGCACAATTAATTTGCCTTCAATCCATAAACATTGTGTTGCTTTCAATTTGTTTAGAACGTCTTTAATTTCTTTCAGTAATACTTTGCTCTTTTCAGCGTACAAGTTTTCACATTCTTCATTAAATTTATTCTTAGGTATTTTGTTCTTTTAGATACTATCATAAATGGAATTTGTTTCCTAATTTTATTTTTGGATTATTTATTTCTAGCATATAGAGACACGAATGAATCTTGTGTTTTGACCTTGTAATTTGCTGAAATTTTATTAGATCTAGTAGATGTCTGATGGATTTTTTTTTCAGATTTTCTATATATAGAATCATATAATCTGAAAAGAGAAATAGTTTATTCCTTTCTTTCCAGTTTGGATGTCTCGTATTTGTCTTTCTTGCTAATTGCTCTGCTAGAAGTTGCAATGTTCACTAGTGATTTAAGCAGACATCCTTGTCTTGTTCATAATGTTAAAGGAAGGTGTTCAGTCTTTCACCACTGAATACGTTGTTAGCTGGGAGTATTTTATAAATGTCCTTTATTAGGTTAAGGAAATTTTCTTCCATATACTCAGTGACTTTTATCATGCAGGAGTATAGAATTTTGACAAATGCTATTTCTGTGTCAAATGAGTTGATCTCTTTTTTTTCTTCTTTGCTGTATTACATCAGTAATTTCAATGTGCTGCTTTACATTGATTGATTTTATATTGAACTATACTTACATTTATGAGATAAATTCTTCTTGGTCATAGGGCATAATCCTGTTTAGGAATTTGGTTTGCTAGTATTTGGTAAAGGTTTTTGCATCTATATATGTAAAGAATAATCTCCTGTAATATTCGTTAGTTGTGATCTCTTCATCTGAATTCACACTATGGGAAATGCTTGCCTCATAGAATGAATAAATAAGTAATATCTCCATTTCTGATTTTGGAAAGTTTGCCAAACAGTTGCTGCCAGTTCTTCTCTAAATGTATCCTAGAAGTCACTAGTAAACCCATCTGGTATTAGAATTTTCTTGATTGGGAGGTTTTTTACTACAATTTCAATTTCTTTACATGTTATTGGTCTGTTGACATGTATTTTTTATTTCTTCTTGAGTGAGCTTAGGCAATTTTTGTGTTTCCAGAAAATTCATCAATTTCATCTCAATTATCTAGTTTATGGCCTAATTTGGTCATATTCTCATAATCATTTTTACTTCTAAAAGGTCAGTAGTAATAACCCCAATTTTATTTCTTATTTCAATTATTTATTATCCGTTTTCTTCTTTGTTAGTATAGCTTAATTTGCCAATTTTGTCGATTTTTTTAATAGAAACAGCTTTTGGTTTTATTATTTCTTTATCTATAATTCCAGTCCTCTATTTTATTTATTTCCATGTTAATTATTATTATTTCTTCTCTTCTACTTGTGTTTAGTTTGCTCTTCTTTTCTGGCTCATGAAAGTCGGAAGTTATGTTATTGATTTGAGATCTTTTGTACATTTTTTAATGTAGGTGCTTACAACTATACATTTTCATCTGAGCACTGCTTTTGCTTCATCTCATAAGTTTAGTATGTTGTGTTGCTATTACTTATCTTAAGGTATTTGTAATTTCCCTTCTTTGACCCATTGCTTGAAAAGGTGCCCATAGTTTAATTGCCATATATTTGTGTATTTTCCAGTTTTCTCTTGTTGTTGATTTAAAATTCCATTCCATTGTGATCTGAGAAGATGTTTTGTATAAGTTTAATGTTTTTAAAATTTATTGAAGACTTCTTTGTTGCCTAACATATAGTCTGTCAGAGAGAACATGTATTCTGCTGTTGTTGGGTGGAATGTTCTATGTATGTCTGTTAGGTATAGTTGATTTCTATAAATACTATTGTTTAATTCCTCTATTTACTTGTTGCAGATTTTCTATCAAGAATTTGCAGTGGCCTATTGATGTCTCCAACTATTATTGCAGAACTACCTGTTCTTCCACTCAATTTTGCCAATGTTTGCTTCGTATATTTTGGGGAGCTCTGTTGTTTGGTGCATGCATATTTATAATTGTTCTATCTTCTTGAAAAATTGATCGTTTTATTGGTGTTTAATGCCCTTTTTTCAAGAGTAACAGTGTTTAAATTAAAGTTAATTCATGTCATATTAGTAGAGCCACACCACCTCTCTTTTGGTTACCATTTGTATGGAATATATTTTTCTGTGTTTCACTTTCAATTTATTTGTGGCTGGGATCTAAAATGAGTCTCTTATAGAAAATATCTAGTTGTATGATTTTTAAAATCCATTACACTAACGTTTTCCTTTCAATTGGAAATTTTACTTCATTGACATTTATAAAAATTATTGATGAGGATTACTTCTGCCATTTTGCATTTTGTTTTCTACATGGCTTATAAATTTTTGTTCATTTCTTCCGTTAATACTTTTTTGTGATTAGTTGATTTTTTATAGTGAAATGTTTTAAAACCTTTATCATTTTCTTATGTGTGCATTTTAAAAATATTGTCTCTAACTCCCATAAGGATTGTGTTTAACATCTTAAATTTATAATCATCTATGTTTTAATTAATCCCAACATTACTTCAATAGCATAAAACATTCTGTGTCTGTGCAGTCCCCTTACCCATTTCATGTTGTTTCACAAATTACATTCATATATATTCTGTGCTGAATAACATAAATTTATAATTATTTTTATGATTTTTTTCAACACATATAGAAAATAAAAATGGAGTTATAAACTAAAAATAAAATAATTCTAAGTTTTATAATTGCCCATGGACTTACTTTTTCCAGGAAACCTTTATTTCTTCATTCACATTTAAGTTATTGTCTAGTGCCTTTTCATTTCGACCTGAAAGAATCTCTTTACCATTTTTCATAGGACAGGTCTGCAATTTATAAACTCCCTCATTTTTTGTTTCTCTGTAAATCTCTTAATTTTTTACTCTTTATGATAGAATGTTTTGCTAGATGTAGAATTCTCAGTAAGCAGTTTTTTTTTTTATCTTTGTTTCAGGACTAAAACATGTTATTCTACTATCTTCTGACCTCTATCATTTATAATGATAAATCAGCTCTTAATCTTATTGAAAATTCCTTGTACATAATAAATTGATTTTCCCTAGCTACTTGCAAAAATTGTCTGTCTTTAGCTTTCAATAATTTGACAACTATATGTCTCAGTGTGGATCTCTTTATCTTACTTGATGTTTATTCATGTTTCTTGAATTTGTATATTTATATCTTTCATCAAATATGAAAAGTTTTCAGCCATTATTTCTTCAAATATTTGTCCTGCAATTTCTCTCTGTCTGCTTTTTCTGGGATTCTCCTTCATATGTTGCTCCTCTTGATGGCATCTCACAAGCCCCTTAGGTGTCATTTACTTTTCTTTATTATTTTTTTTCTACTTCTTAGACTTGATAGAATAGTTAATTTCTATTGCTCTATTGTCAATTTCCTGATTTTGCCTTTTGGCTGGTAAAATTTGTGTTGAATTTCTCTATTTAATTTTTTTATTTCAGTTTTTATACTTTAAAGCTCCAGAATTTTTGGTTCCTTTTATAATTTTTCTTCATTGCTATTTTTGTTTTGTTCACTTATTATTTTTCTGATTTTTCTTATTTGGTTGTTCAAGTTTTCCTTCTATTATTTGAGCATATTTAAGATAATTTTTTAAGGTAATTTTTTTCTGTTAATTACAATATCCAGACATTTTTAGGGATGGTAGTTGCTAATTTATTTTATTCCATTAAATAGGTCTTATTTCCTATTTCTTTGTATGCCTTGTGATTTTTTTTGTTAAATGGACACAAATATTACAATGTGATTCTGGAAATCAAATGTTCCTGCTTCTCATGGTTTGCTCTTTTTAATTATTGAAAGCTGTAATAAACTGTTGGTATAGTGACTTTTCTCTACTGTTTTTCAACAAATACATTTGTTGCATATATTGTGAAAAAAGTTTCTGTTCTTTAGCTTTTGTTCAGCTAGTGTTTGACAGAGTTTTCTTGAACACCAGAAACTAAAAAAAAAAAAAACGACAACCAACCAAACAACCTCTCTCTGTCTTTACTGTTTGGTTCTGTCCTGAGTACCTTTTTAAACACGTAGCCAGACTTGAATTAAGGTTAGGGATCTGTAGACTAAATAAAGAATATGTGGTACATATACACCTTGGAATATTATGTAGCCATAAAAAGGAACAAGATTATATAATTTGCAGGGATATGGATGGAGCTGGAAGCCATTATTCTCAGCAAACTAATGCAGGAACAGATTTGAACAGAACCAAACACTGCATTGTCTCACTTGCAAGTGAGAGCTGAACGATGAGAACACATGAACACATGGAGGGAAACAACACATGCTGAGGCCTGTTGAGGGTGATAGGGGGTGGCAGGAGTGAAAGCATCAGGAAGAATAGCTAATGGATGCTGGGCTTAATAACTAGATGATGAGTTGATCTGTGCATCAAACTATCATGGTACACATTTACCTATGTAACAAACCTGCACATCTGCACATGTACTCCAGAACTTAAAATAAAGGTTGAAAAAATAAAAGGTCAGTGATCAGTATCAGACAAAACAAAGCTACAAAACACTATAAAACTTAAGGACTTCTTAGGTCTTTTTTGAACATGCACTGTATAATTGGCATGTATGAGGCTTTTCAAATCTCTCCTAATTCATGGGTGTTTTTTATTACCCTAATTTTCCAGGGAAAATCTCTGTTCTTATTGTGTTTCCAGGCCTTGGATGTTCGTTTATATATCTTAAATGTCTTTTGCCTCAAGCTTAGGTTTCTTAGGAGTCCAATAATATATTTAAGCAATTCCTACCACTTTTACCGTCTATTGCTGTGCAATAGACAAAACAGATGAAAGTACCTTACATCATTCCTTCAGGTAGCCCCCATATAGGTTAAAATGGGCCAAAATAATTTGCAAATAAAGTTGTCTCTTCTACCTCTGGAAACAGGGACCATTCTCTCACACTGGGAACATGGGCTGCTGTCTGCAAGACTGCTTTTCAACTGGGGAGTGATTATAGAAAGGGAAAGTAAAACTGCCACAATGATTTTAAAATTATTTTTACATTGATTTTTTATTGCTTTAGTGTTCACGGGGTTGCTATAAACCTGTCTGTTTTCCAGTGTTCTGACAATGTTGATTCTGATGGCTTCTGTTCATTTTTCAATATTTCTACGGAGGGACAGAAGCTTGGAATTGCCAAATGCAACATCTTGATTATGTCACTCCCTCCCATCTGTTTTAGTAAACTGTGTGTGTATGTGTGAGAATACAACCATTTAAATTTATTTATATATACTCTGTGGCTGTTGTTTTGCTACAGTGAGTTGAGATCAACCAAGATTATATACCCTACAAAAAACTAAAGCACTTATTATCTGGCCTATTGAAAAAACATTTTCTGACCTCTGCTCTAGACTGGTAAAGTCCAGATTTCACAAATTGCAAATAGATAACTTCCTTTATCGCCACTTTGTTTTTATATTCTACCTTCACATTTAATGAGTCTACATTTATTACTTAGCACTTTGTATATACCAAAAATTCTTGATCTCTTTCCTGAAATTTTACATTTATTTTATGGTTAAAAAATACTAGAACTCAGAGCATCTCAGAAATGTTCAGTCTCAGCAAGCTAGTGAATGTTGGAACAGATTCACAGGCGTCACTGATTCCAGAGCCAAAATGCTAATCAGTTTAAACATATATTTTGGATAAAATTGATCTGCCTCCATAACAAAGGCACTGGGCTTACAGTTAACCTGAAAATCAGTTGTGGATGTAAAGGCATTGTTGCCAATTCAGTTTGGTTGAGATGAGCTTTAATATTCAGTCCTATTATTCTGAGTGTCAATTAGAGCCAAGAGCGAGCCTACAATGTTATTGATGTTATCGCTTCTCCTCCAGCTGAAAACAAAGTTCTAGAATGGCCAGTTCATTTTTCTGGTCTTTATTAACCTAGGCAACCTACACCTGCAGTTATACTTAATCATAATAATGAGTCTTTTTTTAAAATAGTATCACAGAGGGGGAACAGAATGTTTGTTCATTAAATCTCTCATGAAACATTGTATGTAGCATAAATGTATTATTTTGGATTTATTACATCATATGGAAGTACAGAATTTAACAGAATGTATCCCAAACTCCATATTAGTTTGGCCAGATAGAGAAACAATTTCCTTCACCCCTACTAAGAGCAGACTGAGTTGTGGAATCCCCAAATATAGCTTTCATTGAATTGGATGGGACTTGTAAGATCAGTAGTAGCATTTATATGATGTTATTCTTCAGTTGTAAGCCATTAATTTGATTAGTTATCTATTTGCACTTTTTATTTGTTATACTGATGTCATTGCAAACTGGAGAAAAAAATAAAGGAAAAACAAGCAAGAAGAGTTAACTTTACAAATGTTTCATTTCCACTAATTTCTACTGTTTAAAAAAAGAAATTTACATTGAAGCAGCATAACTTACGCAAAAAGCATTGGATTCATGTTTGGAGTCTGGATTCTACTCACAACTCTGATAATAATTAGCTTCTTCTTCTTCTTTTTTCATTTTTTAGATGGAGTCTCATTCTGTTGCCAGGCTGGAGTACAGTGGCACAATCTCCCCTCACTGCAACCTCCACCTCCCGGGTTCAAGTGATTCCTGTGCCTCACCATCCTGAGTAGCTGGGACTACAGGTGCGTGCCACCATGCCTGGCTAAATTTTTTTTGTTGTAGTTGCATTTTAGTGGAGATGGGGTTTCACCATGTTGGCCAGGATGGTCTCGATCTCCTGACCTTGTGATCTGCCCACTTCAGCTTCCCTAAGTGCTGGGATTACAGGCGTGAGCCACTGAGCCCTGCCTAATAATTAGCTTCTTAAGCTTGGGCAAGTAATGACCATTGTGCTTCAATTTAAAATTAATGATAAAATTAATCATTTTATCAGTGATAAAATTAATGGGTAAGAAGGTATTGTCTCTGTTTCAGAAAACTATGTGCTGCATGTTATTGTTTTCATTGGGAAATAATTGGCTAATTCCATAATTTATATGAAGCTCCTCAAATTTTATGTTCCTTATTGTGAGTTCATTCTGTACTTAACCTTGTATTATAAGATTTGCTATTGTGGATGCCAAGGCCCTAGTCCCACTGTGGTTTTACTAAAAATCTAGTTGCAAAAGGCAGATTAGGAGGAAAAAAGGCTTAGAAATTCATTTAATGAATACACACAGCAGCCTTCCAAATGCAGACCCTAAATAGAGGGGAAGTTAACAAAGTATGGACAGCTGTGTAGAAATACTATTGGCAGAAAGGTATATGATCTAATAATGCTAATAGACTGGGTGGGGAAACCCAGCAAAGCCTGTCAGTATAGATTTTTCTTGACATTTCTAAGCATGTATTTTTTCTTCTTCTGGGTATGGGGCAGCACCATCTTTGGATTGGGGGGTTCTTAAGATGTTCAGTCAAACAAGGTAAGTCACATAATTTGTTTATGGCCAGTTTTTACACAGATAAGGCAGAGGAAAAATTAGGTAATATATTTAGGTTTTATGGCTGGCTTTGAAGAAAAGAGATTCTGTTTACTATGACCCACCATTGTGGAAGAGAGATTCTAGTTTCTATGGCTAGCCTAATCGGAGTTAGAACTGAGAGACAAGAGGACAGAAGGTCAGAGAAAAACGTTTGTTTCTGAGTCTGCTGCTGAGGCTTTCATTTGTGGGTTTTGTTTTCTGATCCCCAGAACTATCCTACACTGCAATTGCCTATTTACTTGTCTGAGTTCCCTAGTTAGACACTGTGCTCCTTGAAGGCAGTGAGTAGTTTTTAAATACTATTTTACTCAATTACAATTGCTTGATGTCTGGCATACAGCAAGCCCTCTACAAATATCTATGCATGAAAGAATATAATTTTCATCACTCATTCCATTCTGAAATGCACACACACACGTACACACATTGATGAAATAATCAATGGATAAAGATACAGGTAGGTAGATAACAGCTAATAAAAAATAATGGCTGCAGGTTGTATAACACAATCAAAGTGTTTGTTGTTGTTTGTTTTGTTTGAAATTAACTGGCATGCTGGATCTCATTGACACTAGCATCAAAATACCTGATATTATTACCCATGACATATATTAACTACTGGTTTCTATGACTGCTTCCCATCAGTACTCCCCACCTCAGTGATCCTTAGTGATCCATTTACTCATCAAATCAAAACTAATTTCCCCAAAGCAAGGCTATGATGAATTTGAAAAGTTGATTATTTCCCAGCAGTTAACTTTAAATGTCATGGAGCCTATTTAAAGACAACTTTATATCACAAACCTTATGTTCAAGCCTTAATGTACAACAAAATGGACCAAATGAGGCAAACAGAATCAGGTTTCCAAATATAATCATAATTCTAGGTTAGCTCTCAAAATGAGATTGCAGTTCATATATTCTACAAAGTATGTTTTCACATTAAATGTAACATACTGATGATTATTTTTCTGATTTAGACTTCCTTTGGTTTCTACCTTTATGTAGATGGCTCTAACTACGAAAAAGTAGCTATGCACCTGCCAGGCTGTATCTCCCTCCCAGTGGTGAAATCATGCCCTATCCTCCCCATTGCCTTTTCCTTCAGATTCTTATTTGCATATGAATGTTTTGCAATGATTTTTTTTCTCTTTCTTCTAAAACTAAGCAGAGATATTTCCTCTACCTAGTGTTATTCATTGTGAGGAGAGGCATTTTTTTTTTCTTGCAGGTGGGAGAATATAGATAAGGGTAATAAAGTTCCCATAGTTTTATTTTTTTATTTTTTTCTGGGCATGAACTAGTGGTATTTATTTTCTTTTAAATCGCAGAGTATGATTGCTGTAGCACTTCTTCTCAGTTCTATTTTCTTTTTTAAAAAACAACTGTAAATTCAATTGTACAGGCAGTTTCAAGTAATCAAAACATAATGTATTTATCTTGACATCTGTGGTTTGTGGATTCAAGTCCCTACATTCTCTAACTTGTAATGTTTATGAGGTACTGCATGTGAAGAGTTCATAAGTCAAATTCACACTTAATTTGTACTGGTTCCATCATTCATCATAAAATGTGCTACTAAACAACAGTGAGTATACTGTCTATATGTAAATGCACAAATACACATGCACACAACATACAACAAAGCAGTTTTTATGATGTACCTCTTGCATTACAATACTTTACATAGCTATACAACTCCTACAAGAGATAAAGTAAATATAAAAGCTATTTTCTTCAGTTGTATGTATGTAGATGTATCCTAGAGAAAAGCTATTGTCTCTCAGAAATAATATTTGTAAACTGATTTTTTTAAATTAGCAAACCTAAAGTACTATACTATGGAATAAGTTTGTCTTATTTTGCTTTTATTCAGTGAATATAGATGACTAGTGCATTCACTGAGTCTTTCAGAAGAGTGTTAATATCAAAATTATCATAATGTCTGATTTTTTTTAAAGCCCAGTTCCTACAAAACAATAAGTGGTGAGGTTCTGACAATTACGAGGGAAATTTAGTACCAAATACATATACTATTTCTCCATTTGCACAAGAGAGCTAATTTGTAGAAAACAGAAGACTAAAAGGTGGTAAATCAAATGTGTTTTATGATCACATCTGTGAGAGAAGAATCTTACGACTTCTGGGAATATCAAAATTTGAAATGACTAAATAACTGATATGCCAAGGAATTTGTATTCTCTTGTTCTTTTACTCACTAGGGGAGAAAATTGTAAAAACTAGCATAATTGTGTTGCAAAATATCCATTGAAATATTTTGAAAGTTAAAATATGGATTTAAAATAAGACAAATGGATGTGTTTATTTTTAGATGTGTTTGCCTAAGAGATGAATACTGTAGATATCTGCTGGCTTTCTTGATTAAGCCACAACTGGTGGACCTCACAAGTGTCAAATATGTTATTCCAAAATGTCATCCATTTAGACTCATTCCCCAGCTTGCTATTGATGAGTTTCATTTCATATTTGGAGGCATCCTGTTGGGGAATCTGAAGAACAGATGTTAAGTGTGAAGTGTCTCCCTCCATAGTTCACATCACATTGTTTGAGCTGCCACATGTAACCAATATAGACACTAAGCCAGCTGGTCCTCTGCCTGCTACTGACATGGCAGAAAACATCTAGGAGGTGGTCAGAGGGGCATATGTATACCTGTTAAGTGGCCTGGTTCTCCAATAGTCATGCAAGTATTCCTAAATTTGTTTCACTCCTGGGAATTCAAGCTTCTATTTCAGATTCCTAATCCACGGCAATTAATTATCTTCTTTGAATACCCAAAGCAATTTATGTTGCTTAACCTATAATAAAGTTAAGTCCATTATTATTCCTGTTTTATAATTGAGGAGACTAGAATCTGGATTATTTAAGCAACCAAAATCACACAGTCAGTCAATGACAGAGTCCGTGATTAAAATTCTGTCTATCCCCAGATTTGTGCTCTTCAGATAATGACATTTCTGCACAGTTATTAATCTGAGTAAATAGAATCCATAGTGAATTATTAGCTGATTTCAGAAGATTCCGTGCAAATAAAAGTCTTTCTGTCATTTCATGTTCTGCCAGTCTACATTAATACAAATCAAAGCAACAAGGCAGTTTATTTAAAAATATTAAAAGTAATAGAAGATTGAATGGAAGGATGAATGGATGGATTAAGAGATAGGTAATAGATAAATTGATGAGAGAGGAAAACACACAGAGAGAAATAAAATAAAATTAACAACACTAATAAAAGTATGATTTGATATATAACAGAAAACATTCTTTAGTTTGTTGGTGTGTTTTGAGTGTGTGTGTGTGTGTGTGTGTGTGTGTAGGTATTCTGTCATAAAAACACAATTATTTAAAACATAAAGTCTCAATCTTTTTCTTAAGAAATATTTTAAATTTAGGTTGCTTACAACTGTGAATTATTATTATTATTATTATTTTAAACGGAGCCTCACTCTATAATCCAGGCTGGAGTGCAGTGGCATGATCTCGGCTCACTGAAACCTCTCCCTCCCGAGTTCAAGAGATTCTCCTACCTCAGCCTCCCAGTAGTAATTTCTGTATTTTTAGTAGAGACAGGGTTTCATCATGTTGGACAGGCTGATCTTGAACTCCTGACCTCAGGTGATCCTCCCACTTTGGCCTCCCAAAGTGCTGGGATTACAGGTGTGAGCCACCATGCCCCACCCAACTGCAAATTAAATTTATATAAAGAAAAAGGGGGAAATATTAACAAAGACCTTTCTTTTTTAAAAAATTATTATACTTAAGTTCTGGGATACATGTGTAGAACGTGCAGGTTTGTTACATAGGTATACATCAGCCATGGTGGTTTGCTGCACCCATCAACCCGTCATCTACATTAGGTAGTTCTCCTAATACTATTCCTCCCCTTGCCCCACACCCTCTGGCAGGTCCCGGTGTGTTATGTTTCCCTCCCTGTGCCCATATATTCTCATTGTTCAAGTCCCATTTATGAGTGAGAACATGCGGTGTTTGGTTTTCTGTTCCTGTGTTAGTTTGCTGAGAATGATGGATTCTAGCTTCATCCATGTCCCTGCAAAGGACATGGAATCATTTGTTTTTATGGCTGCATAGTATTCCATGCTGCATATGTGCCACATTTTCTTTATCCAGTCTATCATTGATGGGCATTTTGGTTGGTTCAAAAGTATTTGCTATTGTGAATAGTGCCGCAATAAATATACATGTGCATGTGTCTTTATAGTAGAATGATTTATAATGCTTTGGGTATATACCCAGTAATGGGATTGCTGGGTCAAATGGTATTTCTAGTTTTAGATCCTTGAGGAATCACCACATTGTCTTCCACAATGGTTGAACTAATTTACACTCCCACCAATAGTGTAAAAGCATTCCTATTTCTCCACATCCTCTCCAGCATCTGTTGTTTTCTGATTTTTATTGATTGCCATTCTAATTGGCATGAGATTGCATGTCATTGTGGTTTTGATTTGCATTTCTCTAATGAGTAGTGATAATGAGTTTTTTTCATATGTTTGTTGACCACATAAATGTCTTCTTTTGAAAAGCGCCTGTTCATATCCTTTGCAAACTTTTTGATGGGAATGTTTGTTTCTTATAAATTTGTTTAAGTTCTTTGTAGATTCTGGATATTAGCCCTTTGTCAGATAGATAGATTGCAAAAATTCTCTCCCATTCGGTAGATTGCCTGTTCACTCTGATGATAGTTTCTTTTGCTGTGCAGAAGCGCTTTAGTTTAATTAGATCCCATTTGTCATGACATTCCTAACCAGCAACAGGTCCAATATCGGAGCCTTTATGTCTTTGTCCACAAAGTGAGTATATTCTGATGCACAGGGCAGCAGTGTTTAAGGATATATTCTCTTCATGGAGTAACATCCAACTCAAACTTTAATGGTAACTATTTAAATCTTTCCAAGCTCTAAAAGCAATTTCTTCTGCTTAATTGCTTTTTGGGGACTGTAATACATGTGGGCATTCTTATCCTAAATATTATCCTTTTTGCATTTATTTTCAACATTTCTTTTATGGCCATTTGAGTGACTTTTCTCTGGTTATTTATGCAATATAGGTGACAATCCTATTTGGTTTTCTATTTGAATATTCTGTAAAAGCTGAATAACAACTCCAAAACACAACACAAACATGAATATACACATAAAACACTGGATTTTATTCAATTAGTAAATGTGTTCACTTAAATTCACACGCAACTATACCTATAGGCATGCCCACACATACACAAACACATACACTGTTTCTCATTCCTATTTCCTTTATCTGTACTTGGTTTAGTTATGGCTTTTTTTTTGCCTCTAAAACTTTTATTTTAAAAAGAAAATTAAAATAGGTTACTGGGATCAAAGATATAAGCTTTTTGTTATTTTGAATGCTTTTTATAATTCAGAATATACATTTGTTATTTCAGTTCTTATTTTTATAATTGTTGGAAGAGTTTGTCTAATTATCCTATAAATCCCTGGAGAAAGGTGGACACCATATACTTCATTTCTTGGATATATGTATAAAATTCAGTAGGCAATGTAAAAATGTTTCTGTGTGAATTTATGTGAGTTATAACTCTAATTCTACGTAAATATTAACCTCAGATTACCACATGAAAGCTTAGTCACCAAGTATGCCTCATACTGAAATACCTGCTGATTGAATCAGTGGACAGGCAACTCCTGTGTTACGTTAAAATCACCAGCATCAATAGAATATTTTCTTATTATCCAGATTCTCAATCCACTGCTTCTATTTCACAAACTTCTCCCCCACGAAAAGCATACACACACACACATACCTATCTCCTAGATAAATTCTTATGGTTATACCAAAGTAATGCCACTGCTTCCATTTATTAAATAATTGATTGAAAATATTTAAGTGAGAAAAATGGTTGTGTAAGAGTAATACTGTTGGCAATTGCTAAAACTGAATGTTTATGTACCTTCAAAATTCATATGGTGAAACCCTACTCCCCAATGTGATAGTATTCAGTGGTGGGCCCTTGGGGGGTAATTAGTTGGTGAATGAGATTAATACTCTTATAGGAAGAGACACCAAAGAGATAATCTCTTTCTCTCTCTCAGTCTCTGCCATGTCAGTATATAATGAGAAAATGGCCATGTGCAAGCAAAGAAATAGGCCCTCATCAGTCACTGGATGTGCAAGCACCTTTATCTTAAATGTTCCAGCCTCCAGAACTGTGAGAACAAGCGTTTTCTGATTAATCACCCTGTCTACTGTAATTTGTTTTAATGGCCCAAAGTAACTAAAACAGCAATTACCTCATGAATTTGGAAATGGTCTGTGTACAAATTATTAGTAATTAATTTTGGAAAATTTACTTATTGTTTTGTAAATCTCAGTTCTCACTAAAGAATAGGGATGATAACAATACCCTATCCCGACCATGTCCATGAAAATTAAATGGTAAAATGAAAGCCTGATGTATAGTGGGTATAAAGTTTTCAATACATGCTGATATTTACTACTTTTCCCCTTTACGAGAACATGCAATGTGCTCTGATGAGGTCTTATTAAAATTGCTCACAATAATTGACATTTTACAAGTCATATCATGTAATACTTTTTGCCAAACCTGGTCCCTGGCTTGATCAGTTTTATTTTACATTTGAAATTTGTACTTAGACTTATGGGACTACTTTCTTCCATGAAAGATCTAATACCCTACAACCAAACACTTCATTATTTGGAATTAAAAACTGAAATTATTTGATTATATCTAAGCTAATTTAAGTATTTTTCATATATAATGTTTAACTGTTAAGTAGTTTACTTCAATTATTAAAATAACTGATCAGAGTAACTGATTATACTTCCTAGGCACACTAGGCCAGATGTCAAGAATCAAGAATTTTATTTTCAGAGCTGGCACTCATTAGCTCTGGGTTTGGAGAATTCATTTATTCTCTTCATTCTTTCTGAATAGTTTAGCATTGTTTTCTAGATGTGATTGAGTTTAAATGCACTATTTGGAGGCTTATAGGCTCTGTTCTTTTAGGGAAAATAATTTTGAAAAAGAGAATAAAATCTCTAGGTCAGAAGGGATCTATGGCTGTCTCACAGCAAGAGTGAAACACTGAGATGCCTACATGGTATATAAAAATTAAAATGAAGGCAAGCTGACTGTGAAAAACAACAGCTAAATTATGGCAATAAATGACAAATGTCAGTAATATCTCTACTGGGGACACTATGGAATGGTGGGGACTGAGGATAATTAGAGAAGACAACCTGCCTAAACATGGCAGCATCTACTAAGACGTATGACTCTGTTGATGAAGAATATGAGTAGATGTCCTGATGTTTCAACACATACCAAAAATTAAGATGTTCATGTGACATGTTCTTTTTTATGTATTTTGCTAAGTTGATTATTTTAAAGTAATAATATTTTTTATTCAAACAAACACATTATCAGCTTAAAGGCCACTAGTTTCTTACCTATTAAAATTTCCTTTTCCATTTGATGATTGATTGAATTTTTTCTGTGACATCACAAGTAAGTTATTGGTTTTACATGAACAAATGCATGAATGGAATTATTATTACTTTGACAAATGCTTTTACATATGTAAAATTTTCATCTTAGAAAGTTATTTTATGTGTTTTTACAGAACTACCCTCTCTTCCATGATACATCTTTGTTAGTTATATTTATTTAAGTAATATTGAAGATATTTAATTATTTTTCTGTTTTCATTTATCACATTCTTATTCCACTAAAATACCTATATTTTCTTCAGTTATATGTGATTGGATTTTTTTAACCATCCAGATAGATGTCCTGTGACATAATGGAACCTTTTTTACTCTTAGAATTAAAGAGCTACACCATAGTACAGAAAGCTTATTAATTTACTATATCACAGCTACTATGGTGTGGTATGTAGATTATGTTTATGAAAATTTATAATTATTCAGATTAAGTCCTGCATATGTAATGTTAAGATTTTTTTATTTCAGTTTTCTGAGAACTTGATTTACTAAAAGGTAAATAAATCACACTAGGCTATCATTATTATTTTAAAAGTTATGCCCTAATCCTCTTCTTACTCTTTGATAAGCTCATTCTGAAACCACACTTCCAGACTCTTCTCCTGAGTACAAAAAAACATATTTTAAAGTAGTGATAAGTATTTATTGTGTCTGCAACTCCATCTCCAACAAGTAATTTGTTCAACAATTGTCAGTATGAACTGGATGTCCTTTACATCAGCTCCCTAGATTTTTTCAAGGCCATTGGTGCTTCACAACATTTTTTCAGAGGTTACATTCTAGTCACTTTCTTTATTGTCCATTCAAAAACACTTGCTGAGACCTAGGGTGTCAGATTCTATTTTGCCTGTTATTTGGCATTCCCTTCTCTTCCCAGGCCATTTAGCTACGTATTTCCTATTGGACTATCTGCTTTGGCATTTAGCAAATAAATACTGTAAGTCACTGAGGGTATGAGAAGAAATACTGAGTCATAGATACCATTTTCTCTTAGGGAATCTTCCTCTGAAAGCTTGCAAGTGTGGTATAGTTCAGTGTAGTGCTAACAGCTTCTGTTCTAAGGACACAGCTAATTGGGTTCATAATCCAAGTTAATTTAAACAGATGATTTAACTTTTTTATGTTAGTGTTTCTATTTTGTAAAGTGGCTATAATAAAACCATTTACTATATAAGATTAAGATCTTCATAGATCTGAAGAAATATTGTGCTAGAATCTGACACGTAATAAATATTCCATATATTTTGGCCTTTGCTCTAATTGTTATTTTTACCATCAGCTCTCTATCTCACCGTTGAAACCTGGCTCAGCCCCTGTGGAACTGTAGTATATCACCCCTGTCCCAAAAATGAAGACATAGACTATTTACCCTCACATGGTTCCTATATCCAAGGTCCCAGAAAGGTATAAGGGAGAAATGTCACAATAATATTCAAAATATCTGAAAGCAAACTGCTATTATTTTAGTTTGAGAATAGAGCTTGATAGAATCTGACATTGTATTTCCCTAAAATATTGAACTTGTATACTCTCAACTGTTATATTATTTAATATCTATAAGTATATATATTTATAGATAATTATATATATTATATTTATATATATTTATATTATTTATATATATTACATATATTATATTTATACATATTATATAATATATATTTATTGTTATAGTCAAAATTTTCATCCTATGTTCTATTGAAATAAAAAACTACTATTAATATGAATGTAATCTGATGAATATTACTTCTTCAACTGAAAAAAAAACCTAAAAGAAAAAACCATCAAGAAGAAAATGGATTACAAATGAACCTAAGATGAGAAATTTTGAAGAAGAGACGTCACTTGTATTCTTGGTGGGATGCTAAATGATAGAGAATAGTTAGAACAAATATTAGTTCAATATTGAGTCATCTGTCCTCTTTCAGTTCTCTGCCTCTTTTTCTACCACGATTGGGTTTGCTCAAAAATACAAGTATGAGGCAATATAATTTGTGGTCTTCTCTTTTATTTTTAGAGATAAATAAAAATTCTCCGGGTTTTGAGCTTTGGCATCAAATAAGCCTGCTGAAAACCATCTTTTCCTTCATTTTTTTACATCGGGGAAACTTTCAGCCACAAATGAAGCTTCAACAGGCCACCTTTGGACCATCTGATGTACTGTCTTGTCGACTTCATATATTCACTTATAACAACTGTTGTTATCATGCTCCAAACAGCAAGTGTTGAATATAGAGACAGGCCTACAGTAGCCTTATGAGTCACACTCCTTGCTTGACAGCCTTTAGACAGAAATTTCCAAAGAGAAAACAGCCATCCATAGTGCAATATTCTATTTCACACCTTCAGTACCTTAAATCTTCCATGGTTGGTAGTATAAGTAACGTACTAAGCATAGGCTAATTGATTTTTAATTTCAAATTTCAAACTCTACATCCATTTTTTTTTCTCTGCATTAAGCACTGAGCAGGTGGTATTTTCTAATTGTTCATGTCATTTTTCTTCCATCATGAGGGAAAGAGCTCAGAGACGTGTACAGTGGCATTTGTAGTTAAATGATGATGGATGGATAAAGGAGTGATATGTGTTCTTTGATCAGGAAAGCATTTAATTTGGGAGGTGTTTGGTTTTCTGTTCCTGTGTTAGTTTGCTGAGAATGATGGATTCCAGCTTCATCCATGTCTCTGCAAAGGACATGAACTCATCCTTTTTTATGGCTGCATAGTATTCCACAGTGTATATGTGCCACGTTTTCTTTATCCATTATGAGATAAAATGAGACATAGAAGTTATAATCCACCATAATAGATCATCTTGCGGGGAAATAGGGATCTACAAATTCCTCTTTGGAGGCCATAGGCAACAAGATAGGAAATAAGATTCCCCAAAGGCTAAATGTTCTTATATTCCTGCTTCTTTTATAAGTGGTTTTAGTTGAACATTGTATATTCAAGTGAGAGTAGAAGGAGATAAAATTATAAAACATTATTGTTATGGGCAAGAGTTTGCAAATAAAATTATTATCAAAATCTTCTTATATTCTTCAAGATAATTTCCAAGATCCTACTAGTTAAGCAAAAACTCTAATTCAGATTAGTTTTCATTATCTTTATATAATCTTGAAACCTTAAGAAATTTTAGCTAAAGGAGGATACTGGTAGCAAATAAATCTTAGAAATATATGTTGAGCAATTTTTAATACAAAGCCCTGAAATTCTTGACTTTTGTATAACCCAGAACTCTTAAGAAAGTAAGAAAGACACATGTACGTAGAAGCGTTTTGAGAAATTTTACATCAAAACTCTTATCAGGTATTAACTTTGAAAAGTATTCCCTGACCTCCTAGACTTGACTAAATGTCTCCCTGTTTTAAACATTATGGTAACACTTCCTCTCCTGCGTTACCATAACTAACTTTCCACTCATGCTTCTTTTAAGTGAGCTGCTAATTTCCATGAGCCAAATAATTTCATCTTTCTTTCCCTGATACCTAGTGTAGTACTCTGCACTTGATAGGTGTTAGGAGACAGTCCTCCAAGTGTCTTTTGCATTTCTGCACAACTGTTGTTCTGCACTAGGCTCTCTTTTAAAGGATCTTTGTATAGAGAACAGCTATGAAAGACTAAAGCAAGAATAGATTTTCTTACCTATTGATAATAAAGATGTCTCCCTCCAAGGCAAATCCTGGGCAGGTTTGCTTATATCTCATGACAAAATGATTGGGCTCCTTCAGCCTAGAGTAACTCAGCTCTGATGTAAATCCACTGTGTGTAGTATCTACCCAGGTCCCTCTACTTTGTCTTGTTAGACTTTTGGGGTAAAAGGAACAATAAGAATGAGGGACTCATGCCCCTTGCTGTGCCTTGAGAAATAAAGTCCTTGTCCATGAACCAGGGGTCCTGTATCTTCTCCCAGCATTCATGATACTGTGGCAGACTAACACAGAAAGTAGTTAATAAATGTGTATACTTGAATAGAGTATATATAAAAACAAGTACACCTGCATTCCGCATTCATATTGCATGGGGGAATTTTCAAAACTCCCGTATCCTTAGAATGTAGTATTCCTGATCACCTCATGCCTTTATATAGAGCAGGTCAGTCAATTTCAAGACAGTCTAACACAACTCTATTTTGCATATAAAAATCCAAAAGGTAGGGTTAGTGGATTTTTGTTAGTCCATTATTTACAAGTAACATTAAACATTCTCCATCTAAACTGATAAATTAAAAAGGGATGACTTTTGCTTTGGAAGTATAGTCACTTTATCCACCAGTGCCCTTGTTAAATACTTTTGATGTAGAATTCACTATTTTATAGATAAGTGTGAAGCACTGTATGTAAATGTGTTAATAATGAAAATGAGATATTAAGAAATTTATGAATAAATTGGCAAACTATAAATTTTTTAAAAGTACTTCATATAACAGTATCTAAAATAAAATCATGTTTGCCAGCAACTTGCAAAGACATTGAGCACAATAATAGGCTGCTGAAGCCACATTTTATTCATTGTGATCGCTGGCAAAATGCCCAGTCATTTGCAAAGTGTGAAATAATGGGTAATAAAGGATAATAAGCTTAAGACCTAGTAAAGCAAAATCCCACTTTTAATTCTGAGCTCAATTATGATTACTATCATAGTTGAGAGATAGTCTGTCTATGGCTTCTCATCTCACCTCAGAAGTAGAATAAGCCTGTGAAACTCTCAAGGTTCAATGACCTATTTTTCTCAGTTATTATCGGAAAGCCCTTAGACACGTTAATAAATAACAAGACCTTTTAAAAGTCAATTATAGTATCACTAAAGGGAAAATTTTTGTCAATATCATCCACATATAAAGATACTAAGATATTTTTATGATAAATAAATTTGTCACCAGCATGTATTATGTATTTTCTATATAGTTAACATTTTAATAGGCTTTTGAGTTTATAGGAAAATATGGAAGGAATAAATATCTTTTTTTCAATGACATTCTTAGTTAAAAAAAATAAAACCAGAGAAAATGAATTAAAATATACCACTCATTATAAATAAATGTATATCAACTAATCGTAAGAGGGCCTGAGTTAAAACAGTTCTGAGTAGGATACTGATAAATTGGGAAGGCTTTCTTGAAGAAAAAATGTTTTAAATAATCTAATAACAACAGTACAGGTTAGAGCAGACAAAAAGAAAATTAAGATAAAGTCAAGGGAATTTAAAAAGGTAGAAAGATAATGATAAGACAATATTGTTTGGAGCTCTGAGGGTTACATAGGTTAGTAGGAGCCCTGCAACAATTTGAACAAATACAGTTAATGAAATGAATGTAATACAGCTGCTCACAATGGCTGTACAGAGAACTGTGTGTGAGCTACACAAAAGACACTACAGGTTAACAGCAGGTCAGTGACATGAAGAAGGAACTTTTCTAATATAATAATAATAATTGTTAGCATTTACTGAAGGCATAGTATTCTGGTGACATATATCTATTAGCAATTTAATTATCATGAGAAGCATACAAGTAAGACACTATTATTATTTTTATTTTATGAAAGATGAAACTCAGGCAGAGAACATTTTAATCATTACTATATGGATCCATTGTGTGATTGTAGGTATTCAAAGATAGGCACTCTGAAATCAGAGCTATGCATATAACTATCATACCATATTGTTTCTCTAGATAATTGTTATAAATGTTAGTATAATTTTGAAAAAAAAATAGGTCAAGTATCATTTCAGTGAATATAAATGAAAGGTAAAAGAAGTCATTTTCAATGGAGGACCAGCTTTAGGTAAGAGAAAAAAAGAGAAAAAGAAACCCTATAAGATAAAGGAAAAAAAGAAAGAAAGAAACAAAAAGCAAACCCCAAACCTGATGTCCTTCTTTAGCCCACTGTGATAGTATCACCACCACAAAATTGCCACTGCTTATTGGCACAACAAATAATGGCTAGTATTAATCCATTCATACACAGAGCTGGATATAGATAAAGTATAAATAAGAAAAAATGTGACAACTATGTGTCAGCTAGACATTTTCTTTAATTACCATCCATTTCATTTCACAACCCTAGATGTATACAAGAAGATCAATAGCTTCAAAAGAAAAAGCATTTTGGAAGGGGATTATTTTGGTTATTCCTGTGCCCCAAAGGGTGGTCTGTTAAACATTTATATTTTGTGAAATAAATCTCTTATGAAACCCCATTAGATAACAAAGCAACTTAACCAAAATAAAGATTGCCACCAATATGACTCCCATCCAGTAATTGGATATATTGTTTAAAATGGGGTAAAACATGATTGTCCTAGTTTACTTAGTCATGATTTTTATCTCATGAATACAATTAGCAATGAGAGTTGAAGATAGTAGAACCACAGTTTTGGTTTCCTTCACTCAACCTTAAGTTGTCTATTTTTTCTGATTATCTAAATAATATAGTTCATCTTTATGATTAGTACATAAATAAAATTTGAGTCTTTCTTGGCATTCATTACTTTACCTTGAAAACCCAGAGTATTTACTTTTTGTGTGGCAAGGGAGGCCTAATGGGGAACCTTGACCTTCATCTCAACTTGATGGTAAAAAGGTGCTCCTTCCTTCCCCTTTTGCTTGCCATGTGTCTGAAAAAGACTAGTATAAAGAATATATAAAGAAATTTCAAAACTTAAGAGTGAACAAAGTCAAATTAGAAAGTGGGCAAAAGACATGAATATACATTTCACTGAAAAGAATATATGTTTAGAAAATCAGAGCATGAAAATATGTCAACATCATTAGCCATTAGGGAAATGAAAAATTAAAACCCCAGTGGGATTTCAATATATACTCAAGATAATAGTTAAATTAAAAATATAATGACAATACTGAGTGCTGGCAAGGCTGCAGGAAACTACGTAACTCCTGCATGGTTGATGGGAATGTAAAATAATAAAGCCATTCTCTTTAACAATCTGATACTTGCTTTAAAAAGCAAACAAACAATTTAACATGCAATGACATTATGACTCAGTAATTTCACTCCTGAGCATTTACAGCGGAGTAATTTTTAAAAACCATGTTAATTCAAAAACTTTACACAAATATTCAGAGCAGCTTTATTTTTAATAATCCCGAACTGGAAACAATCCAGACATTTTTGAAGGAGTAAATAAGTTTAAACAAAATGTATTACATTCATGCAGTGAAGCACTACTTAGCAACAAAAAGAACAAGTTATTGATATAGGCAACAACCTCCATAAATCTTCAGAGAATTATGCTGAGTAAATAAATATAATCAGAAAAGATTATGTGATGTGGAATTTCCCTTATATAACATTACTGAAGTGACAAAATTATGAGAATGGAGGAAAGATTAGTGGTTGTCAAGGGTTAAAGACGAGGTGAAAAAGAGGAAAATGGATGTGGCTAGGAAAGAACAACATGAGGGATTCCATGGTAATGGAAATATTCTGTATGTTACCTATATCAATCTCCATATATTGGTTATGATATTGTACTATCGTTTTGCAAGATGTTACCATTGGGAGAACTGAGATAAGGTTACAAGAGATCTCTCTATATTATTTCTTACAACTGCAAGTAAATCTACAATTATATCAAAATTTAAAGGTTATTTTAAAAAGAGAGTTCTTAAATTAATAATTCATTCTCCCAACTTTAGAAGTTAAAAGGAAGACTAAAGTGAGCACAAAGCAAGAAAAATGAAGAAATAATACAGATTAGAGCAGAAATCAAACAGCAAATGAAGCAAAAAACAATAAAGAAGTTTAATGATCCAAAGTTTGAATCTTTGAAAAGATAAACAAAAGTGAGAAATATTTAGATGATAAATAATAAAAAAGGCTGGGCACAGTGGCTCACACCTAAAATCCCAGCACTTTGGGAGGCCGAGGCGGGTGGATCATTTGAGGCCAGGAGTTTGTGACTAGCCTGGCAAACATGGTGAAACCCAGTCTCTACTAAAAATACAAAAATTAGCTGGGCGTGGTGGCGGGTACCTGTAATCCCAGCTACTCGGGAGGCTGAGGCAGGAGAATCGCTTGAACCTGGGAGGTGGAGGTTATAGTGAACCCAGATCCTGCCATTGCACTCCAGACTGGGCAACAACAGCGAAACTCCATCTCAAAAAAGAAAAAAAAAAAAAAAAGAAAGAAAGAAAGAAAAGAAAAAAGAGAGAATGTGTCGATTACCAAAATCAGGAACAAAGGTTACTACTACCAATCCTCCCTCATCCCATCCAAATATATGAATTACAAGGGAAATACTATAAAATGCTTTGTGACCACAAATTATACAACTTACATTTAAGGTATGAAGTCTTAAAAATATATAAATTACTGCAGCTGAAACAAAAATGAATAGAAAATCTGAATAAATATGCAATTAAATTTTAATTAGCAATTAAAAGTCTTATGTAAGGGAATATATAGGACTACATGACTTCACTGGTAAGTTATTTCATGTATTCAACGAAGAAATGATACCCATACTCAGAAAATAGAAAAAGAGAGAAACTTCCCAATTCATGTTATCAGGCCTATATTCAAAAGCAAAAATGAAAAAAGAAAGAAAGGAGGAGAAATTTTTAAAAAGAAAAAAATAAAAATAAAATTACAGATCTATATACCTCACAAATATAGACACAAAAATCTCCAATAAAATATTATCAAACTAAATTCAACCATATATAAAAATGATTACACTCCATGACTAAGTGAAATTAATCCCAGAAATGCAAGATTGTTTTAGTACTTAAAAAGTAACTAATGTAATATACTATGTTATAAAATAAAGAACTAAAATGAAATGATTATCTCAATGATGCAGGAAAAGGATTTGACAGAATCTAACATTAATTAATAAAAAAATAGAATGGAAATTCCTCAACCTGTTAGAGGACATCAACAACAACAACAACAACAACTCAAAACATTACATTTTACGGCATATCTAATGGTGAAAGACTGGATGTTTTCCCCTCAAAATTGGCAACATGCCAAAGATGTCTCTAATGTTCACTCTCATTAATTCTATCCAGTATTGCACTGGAAGTTATAGTCAATACAATGAAGAATATATTGATAAAGCCATCAAGAAATCGAAGTGGCCGGGCGCAATAGCTCAGGCCTGTAATCCCAGTGCCTTAGGAGGTCAAGTCAGGAGGATTACTTGAGTCTAGGAGTTCAGAACCAGCCTGGGCAACAAAGAGAGATCCTCTTCTCTATGAATTTATTATTATTTTTTTAAATTAGCCAGGCATGGTGGCTTTCACCTCTCAGTCCTAGGTACTCAGGAGATTGAGACAGGAGGATTGCTTGAGCCCAGGAGTTTGAGGTTGCAGTGAGCTATGATTGGGAGACACTGCACTACAGTCTGGTAGACAGAGCAAGACAATTTCTCTCTTAAAAAATTTTTTTTAAAAATAATTATATTCACAATACTATAAAAATAAACCCTTGGAAATAAATTTAGCAAAATATGTCTAAGATTTGTATGCTGAAAACTAATAATCTAAGCAAATGGAAAATCATTCTATGCTCATGGGTTGGGAGACCTACTATTGTTTTTCTAGTAAATCTCCCATCATAGATCTATAGATTTAATACTATTGTTACCATACATTAGCCATATTATATGAACATAAATATTTCATTTATGAGCCTCATATCTAATTATTTGTTAATTACATATAAAGTAATTAATATGAATTTTTTGAAAAGCACATTAAAAATGGGTCCCCGAGACCTTGGCTTTCAAGTTCAGATGGAAATATTCAATATGAACTAGAACATTTAGTAATCAAGGTGTCATATTCTGCCTCATTATCTTTTTATTTGGAAAACTATGTTCGACTCCAAGGTATTGAGTTGATAGGGAGAGTTGAGACAGAGATTTCCAGTCTCTGTTTACTTCAGTGTAAGAGAAGTAACCAGTTTAATTGTTTAGAACCTGACATTTATTTAGTCATGTCTTCTTAGTGTTCAGGTTTATTGTCTTCAATGATTGGATACCAATCTGCTTCCTTTTTGACTTTCCTAGACTCAGATTCATTAGATTCTCTATTTGTGTCATTTGGAATGGAAAGACTTTCTCACAGGGTAGAGGTTATTCATTCTCTTTCTTCATTCTCTCTCTCTCTCTCTCTCTCTCTCTCTCTCTCTCTCTTCTCTCTCCACCACAATTTTTGCCAAAAGCAAGTCAGGTTTTTGGTCAAGCTAAGTTTTTACTTCTTGCTTTCCTTCAACTAAGTATGAAATAAATCTATTAAATAATATTTAATTTGGTCTCATATGTGAACCATACTCTCCAACCTAGTATTTCTGCCAAATAACCATGAACTGAAATTTACTTCATAGTTTTGACCTTCATAAATTGTTTGTTTCCCCATTTATCTTCAATTTTTACATATTTTTAAAGTATTGATATCAACTCTGGGGAAAAGAATAAATCTTACACCCTGCGTAACAACAGGTACAATAAAAGAAGTATGTTCCTTAACGTGAGAAGAATGTTAACCCATTTCAATCACAAGTATTTGATTCTTCCCATGAGTAACACTATGCTATGCATTGTGGAGTTTACAGAAGAGTTGAGATATGATCCTGACTTCGTGGTATATAATTTCATTTGATAGGGCAAGTCATATGTGGTAAATAAAGATATAGACGTTACTGATGTACATGAGAGCCTTGTGGGCTGAGTTCCCTTATAGAAGTGGAGTTTGTGCAATCTTGAAAATGGGTAGCATCTGGATAAGAAAAGAGTCAATCAAGTAAGAGAAATGCCCCAAAATTGCTTCTACAATGGTAGAGCAGCTTCCTTCAGAAAAAGCTACATAGACTTTTAAATTTAAAATCATAGCATCTTACAAACAAATATATAAATACCATTTACTTTTATGGTATTTCGGGAAAGTATCTAAGTCAACGTTAAAAATTATATTTCAAATCCTCACATGCATCTCCCTTCACTAATTAAATAATAGTGAACTGTGTTTTGAAATCATCAGATACTTCAAAATTAGTTTGCTTTTCAAATAATGCAACGTAGTAAAACGTGGACTTGCAGAGCTCTTATATTACTGTGGTTCTTCTATGAAAGTAATGTAAAACTATTTAAAATTTTTCCTTAAATTTTTCACAAGTGTCAGGTAAGTACAACACCATAAGCAATATTTGCTGAATTATTACAATGTATTATATGTCTTTTACTTAATATGAGTTTTATATTGAGAACTTTTTTCAAATAATAATTCTCCGAGATGAAGATAAAGTGCATGAAAACTTGAAGTAAAGATGTATTCACCCTACAAGACTTAATAGTGAGACTGTGCAGAACTCAAGATTGCGTTGGCCAAGGGATTAAAGAGGCAGAGCAGAAACTGCTTCCAATGTTGTTTCCCAATAAATAAATAAATAAATAAGTAAATCTTGTCAGGTGTTTTCATCCAATGAGAGAGTAACGCTAACCTCTATCTTCACGTATACATTTTTCCAGGCTTCTGGAGCTTGTCAATGATTCCTAAACTTGGCTTTATGTTAGACTCACCCAGAGATGCATTAAAATCCCAGTGTCACCAGGCATGGTGGCTCACACCTGTAATTCAAACTACGTGAGAGGCTGAGGCAGAAGGATCCCTCAAGCCCAAGAGTTCGAGGCTGCAGTGATCTGTGATCATGCCACAGTACACTAGCCCAGGTGACAGAGTGAGACCCTGTCCCCCACCCTCCAAAAAATCCTGATGTCCAGGTTATCAAATTAGAATTTTTGAAGGTATGATTGAAGCAGTGGTATTAAAAGCAAAGACAAAACAAAGCAAGCAAGCTAACCACTTGATTCTAATATGGAACAAAGGTTAAGAACCACCAGATAGAAAAAGAAAACAAATTCATTAAAACTGATTGTCTATTACCTTTAAATAACCTAGACCTCAAGAGATCCTAATATACAAAAGCTTTGGCTAGGACGTGAGAATCTATTATAATTAGCATTTTCATTAATATTAATATCTCACTCATATCATCCACAATATTCAGTGTAAGATGGATCACAGACCTAAATATGAATGCTAAAGCTTCTAGAAGAATACTTTAAGGAACATCATAATAATCTTGGGTGAGATAAACAATTAATTTTTAATTTTAATACATTCTGGAGTACAGAATGTATTAAACATAAAAATAAAAATTGTATTAATGTTTTTACTATATTAAACTTATATTCATTTATTTAAAAACCTCATTACATATATAAGGAACTCCTTCAACAACAGAAAAAATAACTTAAAAGGGGGCAAAGTGACTGAATAAATTTCTTCAAAGACATACAAATAGCCAAAAGGTATATGAAAAGATGTTCAACATTGCTAATGATCAGAGAAATACAAATGAAAGCCACAATATGATATCATTTCACACCCATTAGGCGAGCCATTATAAAACAAAACAAGACATAACAAGTGTTGGCAGTGATGAACCCTTGTACACTCTTGCTGTAAATTGGGATGTAAATTGGTTCAGCCACTGTGAATAACAGTATGGAGGTTCCTCAAAAAAACTAAAATTAGAACTACTATATGATCCAGCAATCTTACTCTTGGGCATATGTCCACAAGAATGGAAATTAGAATGTGGTAGACTTACCTGCATACCCCTGTTCTTTGCAGCATTACTCACAAAAAACCAAAATTTGAAAACTTAAATGTCCATTAGTGCATTAATGGATAAAGAAAATGTGGTGTATAAATACAACGGAATATTTTCAGCTTTAAGAAGGAAGGACATTCTGCCATTTGCAACAACATGGATGAACTTGGAGGATATCATGCTAAGCATGATAAGTCAGTCACAGAGGGACAAATTCTGCATGATTTCACTTATATGAGCTTTCTAAAATAGTCAAACTCATAGAAATAGAGAGTAGAATGGTAAGGGGAAGGAGGAAGAAGGGTTGTTGTTCAACGGGTATAAAGTTTTAGTTGTGTAAGTTGCATAAGTTCCAGAGATTTTCTGTACAACATCATGCCTATACTTAACAGTACTATATTGTACATTTAAAACCTTATTAAGAGGATAGATCACAAGTTATGTTTTTATCCCAATTAAAAATGAATAGAAATGTCACGGTTAGACAACATATTTGAAATACATAGACCTGACAGAAGATTTCTATGGAGAGTAAATAAATCCTAAAAATTGTTATGCAGAAGATAAATCACTCAATTAAAAGTGGGCAAAAGACTTGAACAGTAAGTTCATAAAAGAAGACAGCCAAGTGGGTAATCAGGATAAGAAAATGTGCTGAACAGTTGGTCATCAGAAAAATGAAAATAAAAACCTGAATGAGATGTCACTACATATCCAAGAGAACTGGTAAAATTAAAATGGCTAAATACCTGGAGACCAGTATGGGAGGATAGGTTGAGCCCAGGAGTTCAAGGCTGCAGTGAGCTATGATTGTGCCATTCCACTCCAGCCTGTGTGACAGAGCAAGACCCCATCTCTTAAGAAAAAAACAATTGGGAACTGAATATAGCAATTTTGAAGAGGTTCTGAAACAAAGAAAATCTCATACATTTGTGGTGGGAGAGTAAATTGTATAGCTACATCTTAAAGAAGTTTGGCTATTTCTTATAAAGTTAAACTGCACACATGCCCAATGACATCGTAATTCAATTTATAGGTATATTCCAAAAATAAATCAGGGAGGGTGTGTATTCACAGAATAGACAGATATAAAATTATTCATAGCAGTTTATTTTTCTTTGTAGGCAAAAACTGGATGTAACATCTATAAAGAGGAGAAGAGATAAACAAATTATGATATTGACTTACAGAGTAATAATACATAGCAATAAAAAATAAAATATTGACACATAAAACAGCATGGATATCTCTACAAAACATCATGTTGAGTAAAATAGGTCAAACACAGAAGCTTAAAATATATATGACTCCAGACAAATTAAGTTTAGTGAGAGGCAAAAGAAAACTATGGTCATAGTAGAATATCCTTTGACCAGTGGTTGTTATTGACTGGAATAAAGCACCAGAAGATTTTCTGTGGTAGTGAAACTGTTCTTTATCTTAATATGGGTGGTGCGAATATGAGTGCATAAATATATAAAGTTAAGGTATACACCTTAAATTTGTTCATTTTATAAAATATAAATTTAGTCTTGGTAATGTACCTCCAAAATTACTTCTCAGCAAACCTACCTTCAAAACATTTAAATAATTTTTACTACTGCAGTTATCAACCCAGGCCAAGCCAACATCATGTCTCATCTGAATTTTTAGCTCCCTTCCTGCTTCTGCATTAGCCTTCACCTTCAGTCTATTCTCAATATCCAAGCAAGAATATAACATCATATAATAGAGATCATGCCACTCTGCTCACCAACTTTTAAGGACTTCTAATTCCACTCTGAGTCATTATTGTACAGATTATACAGCTCTACTCATGCTGCCCACCAGGCACACCTCTTTGATCACAGCCCTGTTGCTCTTCCCCTCATGGCTCTGTTCCAGCTTCACTGTACCCAACACTTCCTGATGCTCTTTGGGCAGGCTGGGAATTGTCTCTGTGTTAGTCCATTTGAGCAGCTATAACAAAATATCATATAATAAGTAGCTTATAAATGACATAAATTTATTTTTCACAGTTCTGGAAGCTAAGTCCAAGATCAAGGTGCTCACATATTCCCTATATGGTGAGGCCCCATTTCCTAGTTCATAGACCCATCTTCTTCTTCATATGGTGGAGTCATCATATGGTGGAAGGTAAAAACCAACCCCCTCAGGCATCTTTTATGAAGGCACCAATCTCCTTCATGAAGGCTCTGTATTCATGACATAAACACCTTCCAAAGACCTTAACTTTTAATGTACCATACTGTGAATTAGATTTCAACATATGAATTTCGGGGGGTTGTCAACATTCAGATCACAGCACTCTCACATTAGATGCTTTTTACATGGTTTCTGTGACTGAAAACACCTGTCTTCAAATCCCCCCTTGGATTGTTTTCTTACCTTCTGTATTAGTTCCTTCTCATGCTGTTAATAAAAACGTATCCTAGACTGGGTAATTTATAAAGGAAAGAGGCTTACTTGAGTCACAGTTCTGCATAGCTGGTGAGACCTCAGGAAACTTATAACCATGATAAGGGAAAGCAACACATCCTTCTTCAAGTGGTGGCAGCAAGGAGAAGTGCCAAGCAAAATAGGGGGAAAAAACCCTAATAAAACCATCGTAGAACATGAGAACTCACTCATATCACAAGAACAGCAGCATGGAGGTAACTGACCCCAAGATTAAATTATCTCCCACCAGGTCCCTCCCATGACACATGGGGATTATGTGAACTACAATTCAAGCTTTAGATTTAGTGGGGGACCCAGTCAAACCATATCACCTCTTTCAAGTCTTTCACTCATACGTTACTGTCTCCTTCATGCCTTCCTTTTTTCCCTACTTAAAATTATATCTCCTCCTCGTGTTCTTTATTTGCTTTGTTTTTTTGTTTTTGTTTTGTTTTTTTAAATTTCTTTTTTAAATTTTTTATTATTTTAGATTTTTTTTTATTACAGTTTAAGTTCTAGGGTACATGTGCACAATGTGCAGGTTTGGTACATATGTATACATGTGCCATGTTGGTGTGCTGCACCCATTAACTCGTCATTTACATTAAGTATATCTCCTAATGCTATCCCTCACCCCTAACCCCACCCCACAACAGGCCCCAGGGTGTGATGTTCCTCTTCCTGTGTCCGAGTGTTCTCATTGTTCAATTCCCACCTATGAGTGAGAACATGCGGTGTTTGGTTTTTTTGTCCTTGCAATAGTTTGCTGAGAATGATGGTTTCCATCTTCATCCATGTCCCTGCAAAGGACATGAACTCATCCTTTTTTATGGCTGTGTAGTATTCCATGGTGTATATATGTGCCACATTTTCTTAATCCAGTCTATCATTGATGGACATCTGGGATGGTTCCAAGTCTTTGCTATTGTGAATAGTGCTGCAGTAAACACATGTGTGCCTGTGTCTTTATAGCAGCATGATTTATAATCCTTTGGGTATATGCCCTGTAATGGGATGGCTGGGTCAAATGGTATTTCTAGTTCTAGATCCTTGAGGAATCACCACACTGTCTTCCACAATGGTGGAACTAGTTTACAGTCCCACCAACAGTGTAAAAGTGTTCCTATTTCTCCACATCCTCTCCAGCACCTGTTGTTTCCTGACTTTTTAATGATTGCCATTCTAACTGGTGTGAGATGGTATCTCATTGTGGTTTTGATTTGCATTTCTCTGATGGCCAGTGATTATGAGCATTTTTTCATGTGTCTTTTGGCTGCATAAATGTCTTCTTTTGAGAAGTGTCTGTTCATATCCTTCGCCCACTTTTTGATGGGGTTGTTTGTTTTTTTCTTGTAAATTTGTTTGAGTTAATTGTAGATTCTGGATATTAGCCCTTTGTCAGAAGAGTAGATTGCAAAAATTTTCTCCCATTCTGTAGGTTGCCTGTTCACTCTGATGGTAGTTTCTTTTGCTGTGCAGAAGCTCTTTAGTTTAATTAGATCCTATTTGTCAATTTTGGCTTTTGTTGCCATTGCTTTTGGTGTTTTAGACATGAAGTCCTTGCCCATGCCTATGTCCTGAATGGTATTGCCTAGGTTTTCTTCTAGGGTTTTCATTGTTTTAGGTCTAACATTTAAGTCTTTAATCCATCTTGAATTAATTTTTGTATAAGGTGTAAAGAAGGGATCCAGTTTCAGCTTTCTACATATGGCTAGCCAGTTTTCCCAGCACCATTTATTAAATAGGGAATCCTTTCCCCATTTCTTTTGTCAGGTTTGTCAAAGATCAGCTGGTTGTAGATGTGTGGTATTATTTCTGAGGGCTCTGTTCTGTTCCATTGATCTATATCTCTGCTTTGGTACCAGTACCATGCTGTTTTGGTTACTGTAGCCTCATATTGTAATTTGAAGTCAGGTAGCGTGATGCCTCCAGCTTTGTTCTTTTGGCTTAGGATTGACTTGGCAATGCGGGCTCTTTTTTGGTTCCATATGAACTTTAAAGTAGTTTTTTTCTAATTCTGTGAAGAAAGTCATTTGTAGCTTGATGGGGATGACACTGAATCTATAAATTACCTTGGGCAGTATGGCCATTTTCACAATATTGCTTTTTCCTATCCATGAGCATGGAATGTTCTTCCATTTGTTTGTGTCCTCTTTTATTTCATTGAGCAGTGGTTTGTAGTTCTCCTTGAAGAGGTCCTTCACATCCCTTTTAAGTTGGATTCCTAGGTATTTTATTCTCTTTGAAGCAATTGTGAATGGGAGTTCACTCATGGTTTGGCTCTCTGTTTGTCTGTGATTGGTGTATAAGAATGCTTGTGATTTTTGCACATTGATTTTGTATCCTGAGACTTTGCTGAAGTTGCTTATCAGCTTAAGGAGATTTTGGGCTGAGGCGATGGGGTTTTCTAGATATACAATCATGTCATCTGCAAACAGGGACAATTTGACTTCCTGTTTTCCTAATTGGATACCCTTTATTTCTTTCTCCTGCCTGATTGCTTTGTCTGCCTTACTTTCCTCCATAGCACTTATCAACACTTAACATATTATATAGTTTAATTACTTATGTTATTATATATCTCCTTCCAAGAGAATATAAGCCCCAAAAAGGCATATATTTTTTTCTTTCGTTTTTTTCACTGCTACAGGCCTACAAGAAAATGTGTTACAAGTTAGGAGCTTAATGTGAATGAATGAATGTTAGTCTTATTACCTTTTAAGTTTACCTTATTTTTTTACTTTCTACATTTGTCACCTTCCTATGTTGTTTCCACCTTCCTAGGTCCTTTCGGATGTGCATACAGAAAGCAGCAATACTAAGGTAAGAAAGTTTCACCTTTGGATTAATATTACAATCTTGAGACAGTTTTGCTTTTCTGTTGCCGTTAGCAAAACCACATTCCTGCTGCTGTCAGTTATGATGCACTGAGAAAACTTCAGAGACCTAAACTTTTTCCAGAGAGGAGAGGCTTTACTGGTGTTCCAGTCCTAAGATGAGACCACTTATGCATCCTGGTTTATATTTTATTTAGTTGCCTTTATTCTCTTTCTCTTTTTTTTCTTTTCTTCTTTCTTACATTTTATTACTTTTTGGAAAAGACCATGTACAAACAGAGTAATGTGTGGATCCATGCCTATCCATCTTAGTATAATCGTGTATTCATTGTACGTTGTTGTATACATTTGGTACATATTCTATATATGGACATATGCTATGTATGCTATATATCATAATATACATAACCATTTCTCTATTGATGGACTGTTGCAGTATTTTCAATTTCTGATAGCAGTAAAAATGATCCTTAAGTTGCTATTATCAATATTTATTTGTACATATCCATGATGGTTTTAGAGGATTAAAAACTTAGAAGAAGAATTTTTAGGGAAACCTTATATATACTTTCCACATTGTCATAGATAAAGAGCACTCATATTTTTTTCTCCACTAATAACAATACAAGATGACTGGAGAAAAATAAGTCACCAAATATAAAGATACTTGCAGGTTTTATAAGTAATTAATAACTACTTTCTTGTAACAGTAAAAACTATTTTGTTTTGTATGAGATGACTTTTCACTCTAACTTTTAAAAACTCATTACATACAAATATATCACATCAAACCCAAAAGCCATTGCTAGCCCAATGGTTCCTGTCAATATTAAGTATGAGATAAAACGCCTTTATCTTCCAGAAAGTTGTTTATAACATGCCAAATATGTGAACACCCAACAGTCAAAGACATTATCTCTGCGATGCAATTTTGAAAGTTGGTAAAATATTTTTTTTATCAATTTCATCCTACAAGCAAAGAATTTAAACCATTCTTTTGAAGTGGATTTTAGAAGATTGGAATAGGAAGTTTTAGAAGTCAGTCCCTTCACAAAAACTGCCATTAAAGTGGAAAAAATAAGAATTAACATTTTTGGAACTCTGGATCCTAATCAGATAAATAACAACCATTGGTGGAGTGCTTGATGCTATTGGTCTTTAGTAAGAAAGTGGCTGCATGCACATGCCAGATACCATCACTCATTCTTATTCACAAGAGTCAAAAAGTGAAAACAAACCTGTATGTGTGGATAAACAAAATGTGGCATGTACATACAAGAGAATATTATTTAGCCATAAAAAGGGAATGATGTTCTGACACATGTTTACAACATGGATAAATCTTGAAAACATGATAAATAAAATAAGTGAGATAGAAAAGGACAAATAGTATATGATTCTACTTATATGAAAGATCATGAATAGTCAAATTCATGTAGAGGGAATGCAGATTGCATGTTTCCAGGGCATGGAGGCTGGGGCAAGGGGAATGGAAAATTATTGCTTAATGGTACAGAATTTCTGTTTGACGTGATATCAAAGTTAGGAAAACAGTGTTAATTATACAACATCGTGAATGTATTCAATATCACTGAGTTTTAGAATTTAAAATGATTAAATTATACCTTTTATGTTATGTATATTTACCACTGGGTGATAACATTGTATTAATATAGGCAAGTCAATTTTAACAGTTGTACCACTCTGGGGGAGGATACTGATAATGAGGGAGGCCATGCATGTGGAGGCAGGGTGTATATAATATATATATATATATATATATATATACACACACACATATATACACACAAATACATACCTAATATATATACATATTATATACACCCTGCCTCCACAGGCATGTAATATATATTTGCATATATACATATCCATGACTCACTCTAAATTCAGGATGATCTCACCTGAGATCTTTAACTTTATTATATCTGTAAAGCTCCTATTTCAAAATAAGGTGACATTTACAGGTACTGGGATGGGAGACGGTCTAGGACTCAGACACACCTTCTCTCCGGCATGTTCCATGAGCATATCACTAGTAGATGATTGCTAGCAAGGTGTTACTATTACAATGAACCCCTAAATGTCAGAGAAAGAGTTAGTTTGGGGAATATCCTCTCCACCACAATCTTAGTCATTTAAGCCACAATCTTAGTCATTTAAGTCAATTTAACAATATATTGAAATATTTTTCTTAGAAGTTTAAAGTTGCATTAAAACGTAACAATTAGAAATTATAGGTAGCCTTTAGTTATACAAGTGATATCTCAAAAGGAAGATAATTTATCAATTTCAAACTTTCCCTGCAAGTAATACTAGATGAAAATTAAATTGGCAAACATAATTAATAATCATGGGTTATTAATTACCTCTGCAAGGTGGGTGTGCTGATTTTAAAAGGCTTGAATAAAACATAAATTTCCTTAATTTGATACTGTAAATGGAGTAATTTGGTTAATGTAAATGGTATATTTAAGTGATTTTTGCTTCAGATCTTACAACTTAAAATATTTTTCTAAAATTAGATTTTGTACCATCTCTCCAGCATGTTCCAGCCTATATCAGTCAGTCCAGGCTTCTATAACAAAATATCATGGACTGGATGGCTTACACAGCAGACATTTATTTCTCACAATTGTAGAAGCTGGAAAGTGCAAGATTAAGGTGCTAGCAAATTTGTTTCCTGGTGAGGTCTTCTTCCCAGCTTGCTATATCCTCACATAGCAGATAGACAGAGAGAGAGAGAGAGAGAGAGAGAGAGAGCACTCTATAGACTCTCTTCCTGTTCTCATAAGGACACTAATTCCACTGATGAGGGCCCTACACTCATGACTTTGTCTAAACCTAATTAATTCTCAAAGACCTCACTTCCCAATACTGTCACAGTGTGGGGTAAGGCTTTAACATATGAAATTTGAGGGAAAAGAAATATTCAGTCTGGAACAAAGCCCCATAAATTTCAAAAAGCTGTGGGACAGGAGGGAATGGGGATGGTATTCAATGGTACCACATCCAAGCAAGTCTTGTATGATTAAAACAAAACAAAATCAATATAATAACGTGAAATTTTACATAGAAACTTATATGATTATAAACTGTATGCTTACCATAATCAACATTGATATACATTGTCTTAAAAATACTTAATAGTGTTCTTTGTTCAACTAAATAATAGAGGCATTAACTAGTTTCCTAGTGCTGCCAAAAGAAATTGCTACAAAATTTGTGGCTTAAAATAATAATAATAATAATAATAATAATAATAATAATAATACAAATCTCTCAATTATAGCAAAGGTGGATGCAGGGCCTTACTTCCTCTGGTGGCTCTAGGGAAGAATCCTTCCTTGCCTCTTCTAGTTTCAGGTGGCTCCTGGTACTCCTTGGCTTGTGACAGCACAACTCTAACCTTTGTCTCTATCTTCACATGACCTTGCTTGTGTTTCTGTGTCCCAAATATCCATGACTCACTCTAAATTCAGGATGATCTCACCCTGAGATCTTTAACTTTATTATATCTGTAAAGCTCCTATTTCAAAATAAGGTGACATTTACAGGTACTAGGATGGGAGAGGGTCTAGGACTCCGACACACTTTTTGAAGATACTGTGTGACCCATTACAAGGCACAAAGTAATTACCATAGGCGAACTTCTTGTGAGAGCTCACTCCAGTTTGGAATATATTCATGTTTCCATGTAAGAGAAAAATCCGTCCCTGCTTCAGTTCATCTAGGCATCAGCACAAGACTGGGATTAAGAGACATGTAAGTGTGGAATACCAGATCCCACCACACTTAAAAAGCTGGCATACTAAGTTCATAAACAATGTGGAGTGTAAAGTTGAGTTGAGAATGCTTGTGTCATACAGTTTATGTATCTTATAATAGCCTTAATCACACTTTTAGTAATTTTCCCCACCATTGGATGCAAAAAATAAAATTTGTTAAAAAATTAAATAGAATAAAAAATATATATACCTCTTTGAGTGGAAGAATGCTGTCAGCACATTTGGTTATTTTATTCCATTGTATAAAGTCTCGGCAGTGCTCTGTTTGTAAATGTATTGAAGGTTTCATTAAATTGTATCAAATTTGTGATTAAATACAAATGTGAATACTATAAAATATTACAAAGGACAATCCGAATACTATGCTATACCAACTGTACAATGGCTTACAGAGGCCATAAATATTTACTTTAAGGGAGTAAAGTAAGTTATAAAATAATATTTAAGAACACCTCAAATCCTTGAATAAGTTTAAAATGGTATTACTATTTGCAAAAAGTTACGTATGAAGTCAGTTGACTATTGAAAACTTTTCAATAACAGAAATATATACATTATCTAAAACACATATTCCAACATTTTTGAGAAACAAAATACAGAGTTAAATCATCTGTCTTTAAATGTTTATTTATTTTGGTTATAAAGGTCCATGAAAATGCTTAACATTGATTTAGTTGATCTAAAAATTTAATATGCAATTTTTATTTTTAATGTATCATTTTTCCCATTTATTCTTTTCTAAATAATACTTTTCATCCAAAGTAGATGACTGAAGAAACAAAATGCTGCTTTCTTTATGAACTTGTAATACATTTCAATAATAATTAAGATATTGTTCATGGTGTTGAAATGTACAATATAACAAATTGCATTTGCAGTTGAATAGTAGCAGAGTAGAAGCTGAAAAAAATAATGTATAAAAGTAGCTTAAAACAGATGATAGCAGAGCAAAGAGTTTCCTACCAACGCCCTCTAAAAATCAATCCTTTCAGGCTTTTGTGCTACCATTAGATTTAAGTTATAGACAAGACATATATATCTGACCTTTTCCTTTCCCTTTCTATACCCTGGGGTCAAAGTCTCCTATAAAAGGACATTTGCAGCAAGAATTTTCAGCTGGGGTAGGAGGAAACAGCAGGAGTAGGAGAGCAGAGCAGTATGATCACCTCTTGCCAATGCAATTTCACTTGATTTGCAACTAGTGTTTAGTAAAGAATTTTGCTATACAAAAATAATGTCTTAACTGGATTATTGTAAGACAAAGTATGCATTTTCATGTCATATTAGTATTTTGTTAATAAGTCTAGGGAAACCTACTAAATCCCTATACTAAAGTGAATTTGATTCTCACATAGAAACTTAAATTCTCAGGGTGATACAACTCAGTCCTTCTACTAAAGGAGCTCTTTTACAAATGTCTCCCAAAGCACCAAGAAGGAACAAAGAATGTGACCCAGGAAGCTCACACCATGAGTCTACATTGCAGAAACCTTTGTTCAACAAAACTGCAGATGCTCTATTGAATCCACTGGGGATTGTCCTAATGCTAGGGACACGTATATAAGTTAATGATTTTATTAATTTTAACATTGTTAAATGTTTTCCTTTGGGGAATTCTAATTTATATATCAATATTCAGGTAATATTTGCTGAAAACACAAACTCTAAGAGTCAAAATGATCTGCATTCACATTCTCATCTTCTAATATAACATAGAGACAATGACTTTATTATCTTTTTAGAAACTTTCACTACTTTAGTTTCTTCATAATTTTATAAATTAATGTATCTCAAAAAACTTTGCCCTAAATAGTTAGTAATAGCTATCAACTTCAGAAAAACTAAAACTTTAAAAATAACTTTTAGAAGGAAAATGAAATACAGAAATAATACATCTCATTTACAATTAATTAAAAATAATATGAATTATCACTATTTCCTATGAAAACATCTCATGCCAACTTCTTTCATTAAGTTTGGATTTAAAATGTTATAATTCAGTTGAAACTGGTAGAATCTTAGTAAAATTATAACAATAAGAAATTGTTTAAATTATATATATAATATAGAATAATTACATTTAGTTCCACTTGTTAGTTTATTCTGATTATTTAGCCGGTTGATTCATAATTTACCAACTTGGGTCAGAAATATTTCCTATTCTTAGCTTTTGCTGTCAGCAGAGATAATAATAATAAAGAGCCTGAACAACAAAGGATTGTGTATTGTTTCAATTTCATTAAAGTTGAATCCCTGCTTTAAGAGAGACTCACATTTTATATTTTATTGTTTTATTAAAAAGACAATCTAGATATTTGCTTTTCCAAATTTCCCATAAGATAAGAAAGACATATTTTTTCTTAATTACACCCTTGCTAAGTCACGCTAGCTTCCTGACCTTGGACAAAATTCTTAACCTCTTTGTGTCTCATTTTCAATAACTGTGAATTAAAGATAATAATTATATATTTCTCAAGGGATTATTGTGTGAATTAAATAAAATAATCCTCTAAAATACTTAGTACAGATTCTGGAACATAATAAGTAGAAAAAATTAATAACTATTATTATTTTTATTTACTATATTATATGACATACTTTTTCTTTATGATCTTCAGGAGAATTTCTACTCATCTTAAAACCATATATAGATATTTATCTGCGGAGAAACTTATCTCTGTTATTTCAAGGTCTGTGGATTACATAATGGTCAACTCTGATTTACTGATTGACTAAACAAAATTTTAAAACAAAAATAAAAATATTGCAGCTATGTTGGTTTTAACCATTCTAAACTGATGAAATTTGCTTTCTGTTTGGTTTGTGACTAGGAAGCTAAACATTATTTATTAGGACCAAAAATTTCTGGTGTCTAAAAAAATTCAAGAGGAAAACTGTTAGATTCTATTACAAATGGGTATATTTGAACTGTTAAGATTTAACTGCGAGTATGTAGATAATGCAAATATATCTTAGGGTAAAACTTTTGTTCTTATTAAGTTACCCATTTTACATTTTGAGAACACTAATAGAAATTCTTGTCAAAGAGAAGATCTAAGATGGTTTAAAGAAAATATTAAATGAAATCAAAGTTACTTGTCAAGCTCCATAGCACAACTTACAAGTCATAAATCACACTCTGTATGACAGCTACAGGAGGGATCTGGGTAGTAAAACAAAATGATGCATTTTATCTTTCCCGTTTTTGAGTTATTAAGAACCAGTTGAACTATAGAATGATGTGAAAGACTCACATCAGAGATGGGAGGTTATTTGCAGAAACTCTTGTTTTCTTTACCACATTAATGTCAATATTTGACATTTCCATATGACTAATTGTTGAACTAACTTTTGATTTCTTATGCCAACTATTAATAATCCTCTTTTCATCTAGAAAACAATCACTTTTTGTCTATCTGTAAATTAATATTTGTTATGTTAATTCATTTTTGCTTATTACAAAGATTACCTTTTATTTACAGAAAAAGCAGTCATAGATTTGTCTTCAATCAAATCTCTTAAATGTTAATTGAATTATTGAAAGGAATTTGTAAATTATTGTTTTTTCTAAAATAGTAACATCAGCGTGTATATTACATTAATTTTTTACTGTTTTTTCTTCACATTAACTATATTTAACTGATTTTAACAATCTTAGATAATTCCAAAACATCAATTATTTTACTTGGATTTATTAATTCATTCAAAAAATATATGACGAGAATCTATTATTTGCCAGGCACTAGGCTAGGCAAAGGTAAGAGTGAAGGGCAAAATCATGTTCTCTCTGTTTTCCTGTAATATATTGTCTGGCTAAAGGCTGTGAAGAAAGAGTAATGTGAAGGAAGGGTATTCGAAGGATATAAGAAAAGGGCTCACAGAATTAACTGTATGTAGGCTGTTCTTAGGGAAGACTTCTTCTAGAGGTGGTACTTGGCCTTTAGTAAGAGGTATGATTTTATATTTGATGTTAACTAGGTAATGGAGGGGATAAGATGCTTTCTCAGCAGAAAGGACATAGTAGGCAAAGTCTTTAAGATAAAAGCATAGTGCAAGCTCAAAACTAAAAGCCTTGTCTGTCTGGACTCCAGAGACAGGAAGAGTTTAGAGAGTCTAGCAGAGATAGCAGAGAAGACTTTATCTTTTTTTTTCAGTAGCAACTATCTTTCCTGTGAAAAATTCCCTCTCCTAGTATTTTAGTTTTGTGTATCCAAAAATTATAGCATTCTTCTACCATCGTGGGGGTGAGTATACATTAAAAAAAAGTCAGTTATTCGAGCATGTAAGAAACTTGGAAGTCATCACTCCCATCCCTACAACAAGAAAAATGCTGTACAAACAGACTATCAACAACTGATTTTAGATCCATTAGAGGACTGAGGTCACAGAACAAACTGCTGCCCCCACCCTAAATTCCCACTAAATTAGAGAGATGGGAAAATGCAAAGAATTGTAGCTTAGTGGAGCAAAAGCCCAGGAGCCCCCATAGGAGTTAGTAATGGAGTGGAAAACTTTAATATGTAGTTGAATAATTTCTGGAAGCTAATTGTGGACAAGCTTGAGAGTTAACTTTGAAAAACATATAACACGAGAATAGTAATTAAAAGAAAGCTGGATTAATATATTGATTTCTAACAAAAAGACTTCAGAGAAAGAACAATTATAGGGGGATACAAAGATGTATTACATAGTAACAAAGGGTTTAATTTTCCAAGAAAGCATAACAATCCTTAATGTGTTTGCCTGTAACAGGCTGTCAAAAACACATGAGGTGAAAACAGAATTGCAAGAACAGACAGATAAATGCACTATTATAATTGGAGATGTTAACATCTCTCTATCAATAATGAATAGAACTAGTAGGTGGAAAATCAGTAAGGACATAGTTCAACTGAATAGCACCAAAATCAGTGAGTCCCAGTCTCTCTTCCTGGAGGTTGATTCTTGAGCAGGGACGTCAGGAGTAGAGCGATGTCCAGGCCATATCTAATAACAAATAAATCAGAATCTGGACATGATACGTAGGCAATCGTTTCTTTAAAAAATTGCCCCAGGAAATTCCACTGTGAAGCTAATGTCGAGAAGTAATATGTGCAGTCATTTTCTTTGAATTCATTCTGCCTGAGATATCTAGAGCTGTTTTGGTTATTGAAATTGTTTTGTTTAGCAATTCATGCAACTTTGTGAATTAACTTTCAAGAAATGCCTTTTCCTTGTTGTAAAATTATATTGTTTTATGTTACTAGAATTTTTAAATTGTGATAAAAGTTGCTATCTCAATGTTGGTCAAAGGAAACAAAATTTCAGTTGACAGGAGAAATAAGTTTCAGAGATCTATTGTACATTATGTAATAGATCTATAGTGACTGTAGTTATAGTGACTATGGAAATAGTGACTATATTTAATAACAACAGTATATAATTTAAAATAATTTAAAATAACTTAAAAATTATTGAGAGTAGATTTTAAGTATTCTACATATTATTTTCTTTGTGACATGTGCATCTTCTGTCAGCTTCCATGGGAAATTTGACATTGCAACCTCACCTGAGGCCATCACTTTTTCCTTGATGCTACGAATCATCCTATCATGTGTTTGTACCATATCAATAGTGAAACTGACAGTGCTCTGATAGGGGTATACTCTTTTATCCCAATCTATATCCCAATACCCAATAGCCCAGTAATTGTAGAATCCAGTTGTATTCATCCTCTCCTGGATCATTTCTGTCCCTTTGTAATATAGTCCCTTTCTTCCCTTATAGGCTCATAATGACATTAACAGACACTTTTCAGAAAGGCAGGTAAATAATTTGTTAAAATCTTACTACTGTTGTTTAACAGAAACATATATATGCATGTATATGTGTGTACTGTATGAAAAAAGTGGAATTAGAGTTTATCTAGAAAGAGAAAATTACCTCATCTAAGTGCAGAAATGAATAATCCTTAAACCAAACCATACAATTGTCTCTATCATATTTCCACAGATAAGTCAAAAATTTTAAAAATCTTATTGTTCATGCATAAATGCAGAAAACAATACATCTAGTATATGTTTATAATCTATTATACTTTTACAGAAGCTGTTTGATACTTAATACTATGGTTATTAAGAAAATAAATCTTTGCAATGGCTTTGGAATTAAAATTTCATGTAAAAATGATTATGTAGATTAAGAAAAGTTGCAATTTTCTGGACTCCTGATATTTTAAATAAAAGTAGTTTCCAAAGGTGATTTGTTTATTTTAATTTTTAATGTAAATTTTCACAATATAATCATCCTATATAATTTTATTTTTCAACTATTATTTTTGTCAACTCATTATTTATTAAGAAACAATTACTTCTAAATATTAATTTATAATTCTTATGCTATAATTAAAAATCACAGTTTGTTGACTAAAATATCTGATTTATTACTCCCTAAGTCAACATTAAATTATCATATTGCTATATCATGTATTTTGATGGTCATAACTCTAGGTTTATATAGTAATTTCACTCACTTTCATTTACATACCTAGGAAATTTGCAGTTAATTCCAATATGAATAATATCTTTGTAACTAAATTTATCACGAAGCTCAACATGACAATTTAGTAAAGTTAATCTCCATTTCATTTTACTTTTGTACAACTTTTCCAATGAAGTGATCCTCTGAGATTAGGACTAGTTGAAACCTTAGGGCAAATATATAAATTGCTTAAAAGGAAGCCTTAAGATGCTTTAACTCATGCATTGAGTTTGAACATAGAAATGAGAGGAAAGCTTGGATAATTTTATAAAGAAATGCTAAGCATGTTTTCCCCTCAAGGAAACATTTAAAGTCAACTTTCAAACTGAATATTACTCAAACATCAATCATTTAACTGTACAGCATGGGACATTTTGGGCATGGCAAATTCTAATGGAGGAGACTGCTGGAAATTCTTAGCCACATAGAAATCTGACTGCTTAATTTTGAAAGCTGCAGAGCTGTTAGTAAAATTTTTTATCTTGTTTTTACATGTAACTCAGAAACTACTCTGAAAAACTCTCTTAATAGTTTTTATGGATGAGTGCGGTGGCTCACGCCTGTAATCCAAGCACTTTGGGAGTCTGAGGTGGGTGGATCACCTGAGATCTGGAGTTCGAGACCAGCCTGGCCAACAAGGTGAAACCCCACCTCTATTAAAAATAAAAAAATTAGCTTGGCGTGTTGGCACAAGCCTGTATTCCCAGCTACTCGGGAGGCTGAGGCAGGATAATCGCCTCAACCCGGGGGACGGAGTTTGCAGTGAGCCAAGATCGTGCCATTGCACTCCAGCCTGGGCAACAAGAGAGAAACTCCATCTCAAAAAATAAATAAATAAATAAAAAAGAAAAAAGAAAATAAAAAGAAAAGAAAAGAATAGTTTTTACTTTATTTCTCCCAAAATATGTCAAAAATGGCATAATGGCACACTTGCTTTTTCTGTAGTCAAAACCACTTGTAAATAAACTTGAAATGTACAGTGTAGAATCCAAGGGCAGAAAGTAAAGGCTGAACATAGAACTAAGAAACTGTCCAGCATCGAGGCAGTGGCTTTTTATCAATTTCTCTCACTCGAGGGCAACATTTGTTCCCTTACTCTTGTACTCTTTGTATCTCTATTGCTTGCCTGTGGCTCAGTCATATTATTCTTTATAACATTATGGAGGCCATATGGCTTTGCTCATCCAGTATGCGTCCCTATTATATTCTTCATCTCAATTGGAATTCTCAAGTGAAAGAGGCTTATTGATTTTCAACCAATAAATGGATAACTTCCACCTAAATCAAGTGTTCATTCATTGTCCAATCCACTGGACAAGGTGGGCTTGAATCATACATGGAAGGAAACTTTCTAACATGCTAAATGGATTGGCTCTCACAGAAGATGTTCTTGAGTGAGCAGGTTTCCTTACAAAATATAATATACTAAGATTGTGGTATTCAGACAGCTCTTAAGGGAACTGTGGAAGTAAACCAGGGGTGACATGGATTATCAAATATTGTGGACCAGGTGAGCTCTAGGCTTCCCAATGTCACTTAAGGTAATTATCCTGCACTTTCATCTATTTTATAATATTGCCTTTAGTTTCTTCCATGAAAGTATTAGGTTTGGAAAAGCAAGAAAAACAAGCTTAAAATTCTTTCTCTAGTGAATTGATTGTGTTTATAAATCTTTAGCTTAGCCTGAGTCCCCGTTTGTGAAACGTATAAATCCTTTTGATACATTAACAAACACTTGGAAAATGACTTAACTTATTAAGTTGAATTCTCTAATATAAAGGTTATAAGTGAAGGCTTAATTACTCAGCATTACTGAATTCAATACACCTGCCTTTTCAGTTTGCCTAGGGTGACAAATACATTTCCCATTACAGCTTGCCAGTGTAACACAGCCTTATTTCATTTTTATTGTAAATAAAAGCACATTCTAATATGTTTTAGCTGAATACAGCAATGTATATATTCAACTACTTCCCAATAGGGAAAATAAAAAAAAAAGTTATTTCTTTAGCCCAGAGCTTTATTTTCCTTTTAGATAACAGAAAAATACTTCGTGTAAAATAAAACCTTCTTACAGGTAATGAGACCCCATAGAATTTTAATGAAAGACAATTGAAGACCCATTTTTAAATAAGCCATTGGGAAGAATTAATATAATTAAGAATAGAAAGAATAAGATAAAGATATAAAAACAATTAACCGAGGAACATTTCTATATTTCTTCCTCATTTTCTTGAGTTTTAAAAGATGTTGAAACATTTTGACAGCTATTGAAAATAACCTAGGAACAAATATACTCTTTATTTCTGACATAAAATGATATGCTTATTGTATTTCTCATAAAACTCAGCATAAAACTACATACCTAATAGTTATCTAAAAGGAGTTCCTAAAAATAAATATATACATTATTAATATGTGGCATGTGTGAGTTACTTTTGAAAAACTACCAAATTATTCAATATATTTTAACATATCATCTAGTATCAATATGGTATCCATTTCTTGATTCTGTTTTTTCATAGTGCACTTAAATATCTATGTTAATACTTTTGAATAAGTGATTTATTCTATGAAATGTTTTAATGAGAAAAATGAATCTATATAAAGCAACTTCATTTATATTTTGTTCCTGTCATGTTACATTGCTGAAATTTTGTATTATACTAGATATGACTCATTTTTAAATATGTAATTGTATATGAAGTTCTCAATGTTAATGTCTGGAGGATACAGAAAATAGAAGAAAAGTTAAAGAAATTAAATGTAAACTATATTTTGCATATGAATAAGAATATTACAAATACCATATTTATATACTATGTTTATATATCTTTACACTATGCCAAAAGGTATATATGGCAGAAAGAGAATAATAATAGCTCTGCATAAATATAAAATTAACATACATAATAATATTTTTAAATGTTTTTCATTGAAGTGTAATTGACATAAACTGAACATATCCAGTGTATATTATTTTTAAAGTTTTGGCATATTGGTACATGAGAAAACACCATGGCGATCAAGGTAATGAACATATTCATTTCCCCAAAGTTACTTTGTGTCTTTAGTAATCGTTTCTTCCCCTCTTCCCTACTCAATCTCCATGCAACTACTAATCTATTTCTGATACTACAGAATGGTTTACACTTGGTAGAATTTTATGTAAATGTAATCACACAAAAATCTATTCTTTTTTGTCTGTCTTTTGCACTCAACATAACTACTCTGACTTTCACCTATGTTGATAGTGGTAACAATAGTTCATTCTTTTTTAAATTAATAGATTTTATTTTTAGAACAATTTTAGATTTATAGAAAAAACTAACAAAGCACAGAGAATTTCCATACACTTTCTTCTACCCTCCATATTCTTTATGATTAATATCTTGCATTAGTGTGGTACCTTTGTTATAATTGATGCATCAGTATTGACATATTATTATAAGTGAAAGGCCATATATTAGTTTTATATTAGGGTTCACTCTTGGCATTATACATTTCATAGGTTTGGACAAATGCATATGTCATGTATCCACTACTACGGTATTATAAGAATAGTTTTACTTTCTTAAATATTTCTGTGCTTGATTTATTCATCCCTCCCTTGGAGACTACTGGAAATTCTGATCTTTTTACAGATTTTCGCCTTTTTAAGAATGTTGTATCATTGGAATTATACAGTATACAGCCTCTTCAGATTAGCTTCTTTCACTAAGTTATATGCATTCTAGGTTCTTGCATATTTTGTATGGCTTGATAGCTTATTCTTTTATCACTGAATATCCCATTTTATAGATATGCCAGTTTATTGAACCATCACTCACGTGTTGGGGGCATCTTGGTAGCTACCAAGTTTTGTTATGAGAAAAGCTGTTTTAAGGAGTCATGTGACATTTTTGTGTAGAAATATTTTTGACTCATTTGGATAGGAGTGAAGTTACTGGTCCATGTGGTAAGACTACATTTAACTTTGTAGGAAACTGCAAAGCTATCCTCTGACGTGGCTGTGCCATTTTGCATTCCCACAAGCAATAAATGAGTTTCCCTTGCTCTTTATCCTTAACATGATTTAGTGTTGTCTGTGTTTTAGATTTTAGCCATTTTAGTAGGCATGCAGTGGTATCTTGTTCTAGTGAGCAATTGTCTAATAATATATAATGTTGAGCATATTTCATTTGCTTATTTGCCATCAATATGTTTTCCTTGGTGAAATGTCTGTTCAGATCTCCTGCCCACTTTTTAACTGGATTATTTATCTTTTTTTTCTTTTTGAGTTTTAAGAGTTCTGTGTAATGCTCATACCAGTTCTTAATTGGATACATGTTTTGTAAATATTGTCTCCCAGTCTTGGCTTGTTTTTTAAATATAAACTATGTCTCTCTTAGAGCAGAAGTACTAATTTTTATAAAATTCAATTTATAACATTCTTCTATAGTCTCGCATTTTTATATTTAAATCTATTATCCATTCTTGTATATTGTGTAAACACAGTGTCTAGATTCTTTTTTTGGATGTGGATGTCCAATTGTTCCAGCACCATTTGTTGAAAATATGGTTTTATGTGTGTGTGTGAAGTTATATCTCACGTTATGAGCATAACGTGTTGGATTTATTTATTCATAAACTTTGGGTTGTTTACAGTTTAGTGTTATTATAAATAAGTTTGCCATGGACACTTGTAAACACATTCTTGTATGTATATATGCTGTACCGTTTTCTGCTTAAAGAGCAACAGAAGAATAAGTAGGTAAAATGGCGGGTGTCTATTTAACTTTGTAAGAAACAGTCTATTTTTTCCCCAGAGTGGCTGCATCATTTACTTTCCTACCATCAGTATTTGAGAATTACAGTTTTTCTAAATCAGCACCAACACACAAGATGATGAGTATTTTTAATTGTATTTATTCTAGTAGGTGTGGAATGGCATCTCATTTAATTTGTATTTCTCCAATGGCTAAAGCTATTGAACATCTTTCGATGTGATTATTTGCTGTCTCTGAATTTCCTCTGGCAAAGTGTGTGTTCAAATATATTCTTTTCCTTATTGTTTATTATTGGTGTGTAATTTGCCTTATAATTGAGTTTACATATTTTGGATACACAACCTTTATCAGACATAATTTGGAAATGTCTATTCCTAGTTTGAGTCATGTAGAGTAGAAATATAGAACTTTTTGTTTTTATGAAGTCATGTTTATTGTTGTTGTAATTGTTTTTTTTGCTTGTTCTCTAGGTTGTTCTTTGGGCCACATCTAAGAAATCTTTGTCTAGCTAAAAGCCACAAATAATTTCTCATTTTTTGGCTTCCAGAAGATGTACAGTTAAATTTTATATTTAGAACTGTTATCTAATTTGATTAAATTGCTCTCTATGGTATGATATTTGAATTGATGAAAAATTAGTAAATATTAATATTTTTTAAAGTGGCCAAATCTTGCAATTTATATCCAATAGAGAAAACTAGAAAATCCCCCATATTTATTTCCTCTTACTTCATAATACTAAAATTTGTATTTAGGCATTTGGTTTCTCAGATAAACATTACATTCCCCAGTATATGGTTCTATCTGGCTTGGTGACAACATGATGAACATTAAGATATGAGTAGAAGTAATACATACACTTTCTTTTCAGTGTCTTTAATTAAATGGAATATTGGCCCATTTTTTCTTCCACTTTATTACACTGAATGTTGACATGTTATTTTCCAATATTGAGACAATCAGGCAATGGCAAGACTTTAAGAGTAACAATGTAAAAATTATAGAAGTTGTCTGAGTTTATCAACAATCCCCTGGATTAGAGCCCCCTACCAGTCCTAGGCCATCTAATATATAGACATTTTGTTCAGTAGAAATAAATATATATTTTTTATTGTACTTTAAGTTCTGGGGTACATGTGCACATGCGCAGGTTTGTTACATAGGTACACATGTGCCATGTTGGTTTGCTGCACCCATTAACTCATCATTTACATTAGGTATTTCTCCTAATGCTATCCCTCCCCCAGCTCCCCACCCGCCGACAGGCCCTGGGGTGTGATGTTCCCCGCCATGTATCCAAGTGTTCTCATTGTTCAATTCCCACCTGTGGGAATAAATGTTTAAACCATTTTAAAAAGGTTTTATTACGTTCTGATTAAACATTCTCAGAAAGAATAAATAATTTAATACAAGAAGTGGGCCACTTCATGTAACAAAACAAACCAACCACCACTACAAACAACAACAAAAAACACTAATGAATGTGGCTTTAGCTTTGCAACAGCATGACAGACTAGCAAGTTAATGACATTTGTTATGCCCTAGAAAATATTTGTTGAATTGCCACTTTAATGACTTTATATCAACCAGCTCATTATCAACAGTAGAAAAGATGATTAAAAATACTTCAGTATGCTCACGTGTTGGCTTGTTAACATTTTTAAGAGTCTATAAGACAAAAATGCATCCAATGTCGACAAAAATATTTTTCAAGTATGTTGTATATACCTACAACTAACTACTTTGTGAACAAAAGTCACTATATAAGTATATAATTTCTGACACTTAAAAAAGCTTATTGTGCAAAAGAATATACATGTTTTAATACTAAATCCACATATAAAATAATTGACTTATTTAAATAATTTAAGATGCTCTTTTATATATTTATATTAAAACATTACAGCAAATAAAAAAGGCATTATACAGGCTACTTATGGTTTTTGACGTTTTGGTCTACAATACATCTATCAAAGATTGCGGAAATAAATCAAACAATATATTCAATTGGACTTAATTGCATTATTACATGCCAAGTGTCGTATACCATCTGTTTGCACATAACATTTTTAATTTCAGTAAAATTATTATCATAAATTTATATGAATTTATTTTATTCCATGTTATTATTTATGTATTGTTAGGAACATTTGCTTAAAAATCATATTTGGACACAGTAAGTATCAGATACTTTACATCTTTTGAATCAGTTATTTTATAACAGTATATACTAAACATCATTACTCCTTTTCAAACTTAAATAATGCAATGCAAATTGGACAAAAAATTCAAGGAAGATCTGGGATCAAAAATGAGGTACTGAAACATCACATGTACTCCATAATTATATACAAATATTTTGTACCCATAATATTTAAAATACAAAAAATTAAAAGCTACATTTTCCTCAAAGTGCATGCTTCTTTTGCTATGCAAAACTCCAGGATATGGAAAGAAGTGTTTTAAACCACTGAATCATTTTATTTGGAGGATAAAAGGGATGATACCAAATGTACCACTTCATGTAGCGCACTGATACATTCAATACGAATGATGTATTAACTTCAAGATAATGTGAGAAAGTTAAATTATCTAACTTATTTCAAACTAGGGGATAGTATGTTCTCATTATTATAAGCCAGAATTCTGCTTGTCCATTTCTATTATTAGAACAAAAACATATTTTTTATTCTTGTCTTAAAAATAGGCACCTTAATATAATTCTCCATAAATGTAGCATGATAGTCTGTTTACAGAATTTATATCATTCCAAGACTAAATTTCTAAAGTGAGAAAATATTAAAGGATATAAATTCACTGCTCTCTATAAAATTCCATATTTGTTATGCAATGGCTTGAAAATGTATGGAAGGGGAGTATGGAAACACTCCTTACCTGGAAAGCATTCTATCCATGCCTTTGAAATAATGGTTATTTAGTACTAGATTCTCATCAGTCCCTAGCTATGTAATGTGTATAGCTTAAGATTTTTAAGAAAGAAGGATAATGTGCTCAATATAAATTATTTCAAGCACTTTTATTGGAATATTGAGTCATATATTTGCTTTCTGTAAGCCCTTTTATCTATAAAGTATTAGTTGAGAAAGGCAAATAGAATATGTGGAGGAATTAAAAATTCAATTGTAGGGTGGTAAATGACAACCAAATTTTTCATTCACCACATTAAATGTAAATGGATATTATACTCTAAGCAGCAAAGTTGCTTTGTTTTGTTTTGTTTGTTGTTGTTGTTGTTGTTGTTGTTGTTGAGACAGAGTCTCACACAGTCACCTGGGCTAGAGTGCAATGGCACAATCTCGCCTCACTGCAACCCCACCTCCCAGGTTCAAGCGAGTCTCCTGCCTCAGCCTCCCATGTAGCTTCTTAAGATGTAAAGATTTTTAAATTAAGATGATTCTTGGGATGAACCATTTTGTGTTGGTTAAAGATTTTTACTTACGTATTTTTTATCATTTTTTTAACTTTTATTTTCAGGTCAATGGCACATGTGTAGGTTTGTTATGTAGGTAAGCTAGTGTCACAGAGGTTTGTTGTGCAGATTATTTCACCACCCAGCTATTAAGCCTAGTACCCATTAGTTGTTTTTCCTGACCTTCTGCTTCCTCCCACCCTCCAGCTTCCCAGAGGCCCCAGTGACTGTTGTTTCCCTCTATGTGTTCATGTGTTCTCATAATTTAGCTCCCACTTGTAAATGAGAACATGCAGTATTTTGTTTTCTGTTCTTGCATTAGTTTGCTAAGGATGAAGACCTCCATCCAGCTCCCTCCGTGTTCCTGCAAAGGACGTGATCTCACTCTTTTTTATGGCTGCCTAGTATTCCATGGTGTATATGAATCACAAAATAAAGATGGTTATTAACTGTTAAATTAAGATTTTTGAATTAAGATGAATCTTGATTTTTAAATTAGGATGGTTTTAAGATAGTTTTATAGATAGATGAGATAGCTAATCTATCTACAGCTAGATAGGTAGAGATATCTATTGAGAGATATCTCTATCTAGATATAGATAGTTCTCTATATAGACCTATCTATCTATCCATATATCTATATATGTCTACACATCTCTCTGTACACATATAGATATATATTTATATCTACATCTATATTTCTACATGTATATAGATATGTATATATCTACCTGTATATATGTGTATAGATAGATATATACATAGGTATCTATGTATATATGTATATACATGCATATGTATATCTACCTACATTTATATAGATATCATATACATACATAGAGATATATTGGTATGTAGATATATATGTAGATATACATATATAGATATCTACATATATACATTTATATATAGATATAAATATTAATATATCTATATATACACATATACATATCTGTATCTGTGGAAGATATCTACTATCTTCTATCTTCTATCTATAGAACCATCTTAATTTAAAAATCTTTCATATATGTATATAAAAGATAATCAAACACAAGCCAAATGAAAATTTGTTTAGCTATGTTTATATCAGACAACAGAGATTTTAAGGCAGAAATTATTACCTGAGAGGAAGATGTATACATCATCCACATAAAAGAATCAATTATTGAGGAAGTTGTCAAACTTGTGTATTTATATTCACGCACACACAGTTAACACACATGCATGATTTATAGAACTAAAAGGAGCAATAGGTACATCTTCAATCATGAAGACTTTAATATACCTTTTTTGATACCTGATAGCAAAAAGGATACAAAATATCAATAATAATACAGAAATTTAAAGCAGTAAGATTAAATACTTTGACATAAAAACTGTACCCAAAAATAGCAAAACACACATTTATTGTAGTGTATTTGGAACATGTTTCAAAATTTACCGTAGATGTCAATAGATATCTCTGTCTATCTAGGTAGAGAGATGATAGATAGATAGGAAAACAGATAGATAGATAGATAGATAGATAGATAGATAGATAGATAGATAGATAGATATAGGCTGAGGTTAGGCCCCAAACAACAATCTATAAATACCAAAAATTTGAAATCTTTGACAGTGTTTTTGTACAACAATTTTATTGACCTGGAAATCTATGGCAAGACTTTGAAAGTGTACAAATGTTTGGAAATTAAGCATCATATTTCTAAGTTATTCATGGATCAAAAAAGTAATTACAATGAATATTAAAATATATTTTGAATTTAATAATAACAAAAGTAAAAATACTGCTTGTTAAAAGTTGGGAGACTTAGGCAAACCACAGTTTGGAGATAAATATATATGGTTACATAAATATGTTAAAAAAAGTAAAGCTTGAAAATTAATAATCTAATCATCAATCTAAAAAATTTAAAATGTAATGTCAAATTAAATCCAAAGAATTAGAAAAGAGAAGATACATAAGAAGCAGGAGAAAAGGAAACAATCACAAAATAAATGAAATCAACAAAAGCCAAAGTTACTACGAAAAGACAGATAAAAATATACCATGATTACACAAGAAATTAAAAAAAGAGTATACACAAATTCCAAATATGAATAATAACAAGGAAATCATTATGGATTCTATAGTCATGAGAGAGAAAAAGAGAATTCAGTAAGTAATGTTAAGTCAAAAATTTTGAAATAATTTGATGAAATAGATAACATTTCTAGAAAATCATTAATAATGACACAATAATAAATAGCAAATCTGAATAGCTCCATATCTATTAAAAATAAAATTATAATTAAAACTTTCCAAATGTAGTGAGTCTAAATCAAATAAAATATTAAAAATTTGAAATGTTTCCAGAAAGAAACATTGAATTCCTAATATAAAAATAACATATTATATGCAATCCCTTTACTGAAAATTGTGAAATTTTATTGAGAGAAATTAAAGACATTCAACAGAAATAAAGATGAACCATGTTCCTATGTCATTCCTGGTATTAGAAGAAAGATTCAGTATTTTAAATAAATCTATATTTGTAATACACTGAAAATCACAATATTGTGATTAGTAATAGCGTAATTTGTCTGCATTATATTTGGTGGCAACTGAAAAACTGACTATAAAATGCAAATGAAAACACAGTGTATAAATAACTTTGAAGAAAAAATATAATGTGAAGACTTACACTATTAGATATAAAGTTTTTATAAATGTATATTAATTATGACATGGAAAATGTGCAAGTATAGATATTTCAATGAAACAGAATAGAGAGCTCATAAAGAGAACCACACAGTAATATATTTAGCTGATTTGTGAAAAAAAAGTGCTTCAGTACAGTGATGAAAAGATTTATTTTCAATAAATTGTGCTGTCTTTCATACATCCGTACAAAGAAAAATGAATATTAACATCCAACCACACAATATACACAAAAATTATTTCATATAGAAGCCAACGTGTAACATAAAACAGTACAGGTTTAAAAAATAATATAGAGGACACTTCTATGGCCTTAAGATTTAAAAAAAGATTCAAAAACTAATCATTGAAGGCTAATAAATAAGATAAATAGGTTAATAAATAGTAATAAAATAACATAAAAAATAAGGATTTGAAATCATAAAGTAACTCACTGAGAGTGAAAAGGCAAGCAACAGAATGGGAAATGAAATTTGCAAACATAAATACCATAAGAACTCTTAAAAGATACTTTTTAAACTCTGCAAATGAATTTTTTGAAAAAATAAAAACATGACCAGGTACGGTGGCTCACGCCATTAATCCCAGCACTTTGGGAGGTCAAAGTGGTAGGACCACTTGAGCCCAGGAATTTGAGACCTGTCTGGGCAACATAGTGAGAGACCTCTGCCTCTACAAAAAATTTTAAAAATTAGCCAGGCATGGTGGCTCTGGCCTGTAGTCCCAGCTACTCCTGAGTAGCTAGGCTCTTCTGAGTCTGGGAGGTCAAAGATGCAGTGAGCTCTGATCAACCACTGCACTCCAGCCTGGATGACAGAGTTAGAACCATCTCCAAAAAATTTTTTTTAAATAAATAGTTAATAATAAGTACAACCAAATGAAACATCAACAAAGGCCTTTTCAAAGCACTTTTTACCACAGAATTTAAAAAAAATTAAAGAAAGAAAAAATAAACAAAAGGAAATCAAGCTACTTATTACTTATTAGATAAATACAAATTAAAAATAAAAATAAATTCTACTCTATAATTATGAAAAAACTAAATTTTAAAAAATAAAGTGTATTTAGGGTTTCTATAGAAGCTGTGCAAACGAAATTTGCATGCGCTGATGAAGGGAATGTAAATCGCTATAACTCTGAAAAATATTTGACTTAATCTTGTAATGAACGTATCCTTTCTACCTCATTGTCCAAATCCATCCTGACTATATACGCATATATGTGTTTGCGTGTTTGTGTGTATGTATACATATATACACTGTGTGTATATAGAAATACATACATAAATGTGTACATATACTTCCTCCTAAAGATATGTATAATAATCTTTCTAGAAGCATAATTTATATTAGCTCCAAACTGGAAAATATATATCAAATATAGAATAAGTAAGTACAATGTGTTATGTTTACACACAAACTGCATGTTGAGTGAAAGAAGTAGCTGTAAAGTATCAACAGATGTGAGGATAATGGTGAGAGGGAGAGTAGCTACTGCGTAAGGGAAAGAAGGAATTTCCTAGAATTCGGCTCAGATTTTATTACTTCACATGAGTCATCTTTATAATGCTGTGCTCACTTTTGGATAATTTTTCAGGCTGTACATTTGATGTTGGTACATATGTCAGTGTTATACTACAATAAATATTCTAAAAATCAACATTCCAGAAGTGTTATGAAGTGGATAAATTCCTTTAATGTGAAATCATGTTTCTTACATTTTAGTTAGAGCTGCCTTTCTAACTGCCTGAAATTAGGCAAGTTAGTAATTTGTCTGTTGAGTTTACTCACCTAAAAACAAGGAATTAATAAGAGTAGCACCTTCATAGGTTTATAATGAGACTTAAATCAGTCTAATACTTATAAAAAGCTTACAATTGTACAGACCTACATTAAGTTCCATGTAAGTGTATAATAAATGATTCTCAATTATTAAATTAATACTACTTGTCCATCCCTGTAACAGGTGCTAGGACAATAAATGTTATCCATTCCCTTCCCTTAAGGAAAACAAAGACTTAGAAAATATTAATGCGAAAAGTGATAATAGCTATGGAACAGTGTTCTCAGAGTAAGATACTCAAACTATTTGTATAAGAATCTTCTTAGTGTATTTTTGAATTTATTCTAAAAATTATTGTGAGCAAATTTGGCATTGGGGCTAGAAAAGTTCATTTAAAAAAATAATGGCAATTTTTTTAAATGCTAAAGGTGAAGAGCCAAGTCTGTATATTATGAAAAAAACGACACAACAAGAAGTAACAATACAGGTTTGCTTATGAAGGTCAAGAGAAGCTTTCAAAAATACCGAGATACAGGAACAGGACCTTAGAAAAGAATAGGAGTTTTCCAAATGGTCAAGTAAGGTAAAACTCTTCCAGGAAAATTAAACCATATGAGCCAAGGCCAAGAGAACTAAAATTATATGTAGTATTTCAAACATTTAAAGTTTGATACAGCAGGAATCTAGGTGCTAATGAGAAGCATTTAGAAATAAAGCAAAAGCCAAATCTCTTCATAAGATGTTTAGACACAATCAAATAAGCAATGAGAAGATGAGTGAAAAGATTTAATCCCAGAAGAAAGGCACATATATATTTAATCCTAGAAACACACACACACACACACACACACACACACACTCACACACACAGCGTCATTGGAAATAAGGCTTAGAATAAATTACCAGTGAAAATGAATGTTGATTTTTTATTATATTTTTATGAAAAGGCTTTATCCCTTTCATATCCTTTGCATATATCCATATATGCAACCTTCAATAATGTAATTTTTATAATGATCATGATGTTGTACTCCTCAATATTTTGACATTTCACTCTCAGTCTTCCTTTTATATAAACTCCAAGAAACTTGGTCAATTCTCTCCAGACTTTATTATCTTCTAAATTGCTGCCTTGATCCGCCAAGGTCTTTTTGAACTTCAGAAAAAGATGCATTTTATCAGCCACCATCCAGTGGGATCAATTTGTTGGTGCCAAAATTGAGATCTCTTTTTACGTCCGTTTGATTTACGTGGAGTCACAAATACCAAGGCATTCATTCATCAGGGGACTT